>NC_000004.12:85588047-85739562 GCF_000001405.40 Homo sapiens
AAGGATATGCTGGGCTGAGGGGATAACATGCAGAGGGAAAACAGGCCTGTGGGCTGGTAACCTCATCACCAAGGGATTTCTCAGTCATCCCTGCCTTTATCTTGAACACACTGTCAGCCTCACCAAGAGGCAGAGTTGCTTTTCTTGATCAGCCAGTCACTAAATGCTATGCATGCACATGATTGGGTTCTTCACAGAAGCCTGCTGTTGCTTTTTAATTGTTGACGTTTTGTGCTTGCTAAATGCTTCTTGCTGCCTTTTAATGTAATAGTTTTCATTTGTTGTTTTAAGAGAAAATAAAAGCATGTTTCATGCCTTTCTGCCCTTCCATGATTCCCTTCTTCATTCTCTGCCCAGCCTGGAGGATGGGGGTGGAAATTAGTGGCTTTCTCATCTGAATTCTGAGTCCTGCAAATATCTGTTTGATAGCACTTTTCATGTAAGGTCGCTATTAGCTCGCCTGTCTTATTGTGACCCCTTGAGTCCAGGGACCCTCTCATATAGCACATTGTGTGCACACAGTATGCACTCAATTAATGTCTATGGACTGAAGAAGTACCATAAATTCATTTTGGACGTGGGCATCTGATTCTTTAAAGTGTAATGATGATAAGAAATTCATTACAGAGAAGTATATATTATTGACTTCTACTTTTCTTTCTGAGATAGTTTTAAATAAGTAATTAAGAGTTTAAAATAAACAAAATTTTTATTTGATTTCTAAGATTTCAACAATTTTAGTATTTTATTATCAATACAAAGTTTCTAACATGCATAGGAAGAGTATGAAGACAGTTATTGTTGAAGACTTTGTACCCTGAATACTAAACCACTCTTTCTGCTCCATGAAGTTTCTAATTTAATGTTGAACTGACTTGAAATGGAGAAGCATAAAAAGTTGGCTCCTCTCTAAAGGCCATCAGATAATATTCTCAGAGGTAAATCACCTGCAAGGTGAAACTTGTAGGTGAAGACAACTTTGTAAAATAAATTGCATTGGGCCTCAGAGATGTGGGCATATAATGAATAGAGATTCTGTAAACTTCACCACCTCCTTATAGTTTTGCAGAGTGAAGCTTCTGTGGGTATTTGCATGTAGGTGAATTATGTCTGATAACAAACAGAATTGTGATCTGGCCGATGTCAGAGTCCTAGCAGTGGATTTTAGTCCTAACTGCCACCTAAAGCCTGGCCAGTTAATGACTCTGGATCCTCATTTTCTCATCTTAAACCAGTAGAAGATTGCATTGGGTTGACATCTAATGTTTCTTTTAGCTTGAAATTTTGATAGTTCTTGAAATGTGTATTTTATTCATATGTCATTCATTATTTTAGCCTTTTAACACACATATACAAAACTAAAACAAACAAAAAACACAACTTGCCAGAGGATAGGAGATGGTAGGACTGATTGACTTGACTAGGGACAGGAATTTTTATTTGTTACAATTAATATTTGAGTAAGTTCTTTTTCTCATGTAATCATGGTAGTGACCATTTTGGGACCATGCCTGAAAACTTACTAGGTAATTAATGAGTCTGGTTCCTGTTAATATCTTCTACATCTCCGGCCAGAGATATATTTTTTGTTTCCTTCGCTTCCCAATATCAAGCTATCCTTTGGGTCCTTTCTTTTGAAACTAATAATTCCTCTTGGGATATAGCTAGAGAGATCTCTTTGGCTGGAGCATCTGCCATTAGGTCAAAATACTTTAATAAATATGTGCAGTACATACTAATCCTATATGTTAAAGAATTCTTTCAAAATAGATTCAAGAGTTTAAAAATAAAATATGGATTTTTTATTTTACAAAATAATTCCTTCTTAATTATAAGTCTGGAAGTTGGATCTGATATTTTTCAAAGCCATTGCTGCACATTGCAAATTTTCATGCCATCCACATTTTTGTTTGACTAATTACTAATATGTGCATTTTGCATGTTAATTTAGATTATCCCTCTTTTAGAAGAAAAGGAAATTGTTCTTAAAGTAATACTTACTGTGTAATCACAAGACAGTGAATTCGTAACACAAAGATGCTAATGTTTAGCAAATGATTGTTTAATGTAAATGAAATGTTAATTTGTTTGGAATGAGAAAACTAACTTTCTTTCTGCCTGCCTGCCTGCCTGCCTGCCTGCCTGCCTTCCTTCCTTCCTTCCTTCCTTCCTTCCTTCCTTCCTTCCTTCCTTCCTCCCACCTCCCTCCATCCCTCCATCCCTCCCACCCTTCCTTCCTTCCTTCTTTCCTTCCCTTCCCTTCCTTTCCTTTTTTTCTCCCTTTCTTCTTTCCTCCTTTTTATTTTTTATTTTATTTTATTTTATTTTTTGAGATGGAGTCTCGCTCTGTCGCCCAGGCTGGAGTGCAGTGGTGAGATCTCGGCTCATTGCAACCTTTGCCTCCTGGGTTCAAGCGATTCTCCTGCTCCAGCATCCCGAGTAGTTGGGACTA
This sequence comes from Homo sapiens, assembly GCF_000001405.40. Taxonomy (NCBI): domain Eukaryota; kingdom Metazoa; phylum Chordata; class Mammalia; order Primates; family Hominidae; genus Homo; species Homo sapiens. Next base: position 85,590,500 of record NC_000004.12, read on the forward strand.
CAGGTGCATGCCACCACGCCTAGTTAATTTTTGTATTTTTAGTAGAGACGGGGTTTCACCATGTTGGCCAGGCTGGTCTTGAACTCCTGACCTCAGGTGATCCACCTGCCTTGGCCTCCCAAAGTGCTGGGATTGCAGGTGTGAGCCACCACACCTGACCCTTTCCTTCTTTTTCTAATTAAAATAAACACTCATTGAGTACTTTCTGTCTGCCGTGGTTTTCCTCCAAAAGAACATACTTTATAGTAAAACTAATTTTACTACTGAAAACTCCCCAAAACTTTCATCAAAATTATTATTGTACTTTTAAGTAGACTGAAATATCTGTTTATTTAAAATTTAACATAAGGATCTTCACTTTTTAAAGAAATTTGTCATGACTTTTAAAAATATGTACAGGAAAAAAATAAAGAGTAGTCAAATATAAATTAAAACCATCAGTCTTAGTTTTCATATTTGCAAAATGAAAGGCTGTACAAAAATTATTTATAATGCCTTTCCCATGCAGCACTAACCTGTAAAATCTGCTGGGTTTTTTTTTTTTTTTTTTTTTTTTTTTTTTGAGATGGAGTTTTGCTCTTGTAGCCCAGGCTGGTGTGCAATGGCACAATTTCAACTCACTGCCACCTCTGCCTCCCGGGTTCAAGCAATTCTTCTGCCTCAGGCACCTGAGTATCTGGGACTACAGGCATGGCGCCACCATGCCTGGCTAATTATTGTATTTTTAGTAGAAATGAGGCTTCACCGCTTTGGCCAGGCTGCTCTGGAACTCTTGACCTCAGGTGATCCACACAACTCAGCCTCCCAAAGTGCTGGGATTACAGGCGTGAGCCACCATGCCCGACTAGATCTGCCTTTTTAACAGATTTTCTTGCATGGTTGGGGGATTGGTAATCACATATCTACCAATGCTCATCTGCTTTCTACTTTTATCAGAAACACACATTTCCATCACATTTAGTTTGGAATTAGGGAGTGAGTCTGGGAAACAAGAATAGCAAAGTGTAATACTGCAGTGCTCAACTCTAATGTCAACATACTCTTGTGTCAGACTTAGTCATTAGTTACAAGTCACAGTCATTAGTTACAAGTCACAAGCCATTAGTCACAAGTCACATAAATTCACAAGTCATTAGTTAAAGTATTAGCTTGAGAAAGATTTACTTTTTATAAATTGCAGCGGCTCAAGATTATCCCTGTAATACTCACGTGCACTCTGACATTTTCTTCATTGCAAGGGAAAAGGAGGGAAGTGGATTTAGAGTTCTGGGAAGTGAGGGTAAGTCAAAACTATGTCAAAGGATTCTTGTGAGGATTAAATGAGATGCTATGTATGAAGCACTTAGCATGGTACCTGGCATACAGAAAATATGATGTAAATGTTTGTTAATAGTATTACCATACCACAGCCAACCAACCACACTCCCCACACCACCACAATAACAAATTTTTGTTATTGTTAGCATACTACCAATTATGTGTATCATGGCAGAAGGGAAAGCAATTTTGAAAACCTCTGGCTCTATAATCTGACCCGTGACCTTGGGCTGGATTTGTCAGATGTGACTCCCACTGTTCCTTCCCTCTTAAAGCAGACTTGCCTATTTTGTCCTAGCACTCCTTCCCCACTGGCCTGACAAAGAACTTTGTTTTCTCTAACTTTTAATTTTTGTGGGTGCATAGTAGAAATATAGATTTATAGGGTACATGAGCTATTTTGATACAAGTATACAAGATGAATGCTTCTCTGATGATCAATGATGTTGAGCACCTTTTCATATAACTGTTTGCCATTTGTATGTCTTCTTTTTGGAAATGCCTATTCAGATTTTTTGCCCACATTTTAATTGGATTATTAGATTTGTCTCTATTGAGTTATTTGAGCTCCTTATATATTCTGGTTTAATAATTCTGGTGTAATAATTACATCAGCTTAAATGGTGTATCCATAACCTCAACATTTATCCTGTCTTTGTGTTACAAACAATCTAATTATACTCTTTTAGTTATTTTAAAATTTACAGTTAAATTATTATTGACTATAGTCACCTCTTGTCTTATCAAATACTATGCCTTATTCATTCTATCTGACTATATTTTTGGACACATTAACCATCTCCACTTCCCTGACCCCACTATCCTCCCCAGTCTCTAGTAACCAGTCATTCTACTGTCTTATCTCCATGAGTTCAATTGTTTTAATTTTTAACTCCCACATATAAGAGAGAATATGCAAGAAAAGTTTGTCTTTCTGTTCCTGGCTTATTTCACTTAACATAATGAACTCCAGTTCCATCCATGTTGTTCCAAATGAAAGGATGTCATTCTTTTTAAAGGCTGAATAGTACTTCATTGCATACCACATTTTCTTTATCTATTCAACTGTTGATGGGCACTTAGGTTCCTTCCAATTCTTGGCTATTGTGAACAGTGCAATAAACATGGGGGGTGCAGATATCTCTTTGTATACCTAGCAATGGGATTAACGGATCATATGGTAGCTTTATTTTTAGTTTTTTAGGAACCTCCAAACTGTTCTCCATAGTGATTGTACTAATTTACATTCCCACCAATGGCATATGAGGGTTCCTTTTTCTCCACATTCTCATCACCATTTGTTATTGCCTGTCTTTTGGATAAAAGCCAATTTAACTGGTGAGATGATATCTCATTGTAGTTTTGATTTGTACTTCTCTGATGATCAATGATGTTGAGCACCTTTTCATATAACTGTTTGCCATTTGTATGTCTTCTTTTGGGAAATGCCTATTCAGGTATTTTTTGCCTGCATTTTAATTGGATTATTAGATTTTTCTCTATTGAGTTATTTGAGCTGCTTATATATTCTGGTTATTAACCCCTTGTCAGATAAGTGGTTTGCAAATATTTTCCCCCATTCTGTGGGTTGTCTCTTCACTTTGTTGATTGTATCCTTTGCTGTTCAGAAGCCTTTCAACTTGATGTGACCCCATTTGTCCATTGTTGTTTTGGTTGCCTATCCTTGTGGGATACTACTCAAGAATTATTTGCCCAGTCCAATGTCCTGGAGAGTTTCCCCAATACTTCTTTTAGTAGTTTCATAGTTTGAAGTCTTATACTTAAATCCTAATCCATTTTGATTTGATTTGTATACGGTGAGATATGGGGGTCCAGTTTCATTATTTTGCATATGAATATCCAATTTTCCCAGAATGATTTATTGAAGAGACTGTCCTTTCCCCAATGTATGTTCTCAACACCTTTGTCAAAAAGGAGCTCACTGTTGATGTGTGGATTTGTTTATGGGTTCTTTATTCTGTTACACTGGTCTATATGTCTGCTTTTATGCCAGTACTATGCTCTCTTAGTTACAATAGCTTTGTGGTATAATTTGAAGTCAGGTTATGTGATTCTTCCAGTTTTGTTCTTTGTGCTCAGAATAGCTTTGGCTATTCCGGGTCTTTTGTGATTCTGTATAAATTTGGGGATTTTTTTTCTATTTCTGTGAAGAATGTCATTGGTATTTTTATAGGGATTGCATTGAATCTGTAGATTGCTTTGGGTAGTATGGACATTTTAGCGATTTTGATTCTTCCATTCTGTGAATATGGGATCTTTCCTTTTTTTAATATCCTCTTTCATTTCTTTCAGCAGTATTTTATAGTTTTTATTGTAGAAATCTTTCACTTTTTTGCTTAAGTTAATTCATAGGTATTTTATTTTATTTATAACTATTGTAAATAGGCTTAATTTCTTGATTTCTTTTTCTGATTTTTCACTATTGGCATACAGAAACAGAACTGATTTTTGTTTGTTGATTTTGTATCCTGCACCTTTACTGAATTTGTTTATTAGTTCTGATAGTTTTTTGGTGGAGTCTTTGTTTCTCCAAACATAAGAGCATATCATCTATAAACAAGGATAATTTGACTTCTTCCTTTCCAATTTGGTCGCCCCTTATTTCTTTCTCTTGTCTGATCGCTGTAACTAGGACTTCCAGAACTTTGAAATCCTTCACAACATAGCATTCTATTTGACTGCAAAAACTTGGTCAAAGTTAGAAGGAGAGATGATACCTATCTGCCATCACAATATTATATTCAAAAGCCATTGAATTGCCTTCTAATTAGTATAAAAAAAGGGAATCTTACTTTCTGTCCATCTCTTTTGAATCAAGGAATAAAAACACTAAGAGTGCCTCAGAAAGCAATAGTGACTTATTCTTTCTACAGTATGTGGCACAAGGAGTCTTTTGTAGCCCCATAAAAATCACCTACATTATTTTGCTAGTTCATTCACCAATGTCTTTAAATTTAAAAACAAAAATAACTAAAATATTGTTTAAAATTTATCTAACTACGTATGAGGTGAAAAAGAGACTAGACAAAACCCAATTTTTTCTTCAATGTTTCTGCATGTAGGGAAGTAATGTAGTCTATTTAGAAAAATGAATTTAAGTACAGTGACTCAACCAACAAACATTGCAATCCTATTCACTTTCTCCTCTTTTTTTTTTTGTAACAGTCTTGCTCTCTTCCCTTCACCATATTGCTATTCTACATCCATGCTTACCCCAGCCTACTTTCCCTTTTCTCCCAGGCTTGGATAAATAATGTAACCTATGAATTGAACAGACTTTTCACAATGTGAGAACTTCCCTCCAATCCAATAACTCAGTATATATTGAACTAATAAACCAAACATGGTAAGAGAACAACCTCTTTCTCAGGTTGATGGAACATATCAGGCATTGGAAAGTTCCTTTCCATGCAGAGACCCAGTAGAAGTTCCTGTCGGAAATGAGTATCTCTTGGCAGACCAAGGGTACATTCTGTTTGTTTTGCGCTCAGTTCGTTTTGTTCCTAGAAAGTGATAACATAAAGCACTCAACTATAAACAAGTCAGGTGGTATTTATAGTTATCTGGTAGGCATGAGGCAAAGTGGCAAACTTCCTTTAAAGAACCAAGCCAAGCTTACCTATGTTGAAATTCATGGTCTAATTTCTCGCTGAACTTCAGTGTGTAGCATTTGCTCATAAATGCAAAATATCTCTACCGAATTACAAAATCAGTTCCTTCTTTTCCTTTGAGGATTATGTAAAAGACTTTAGGGAACATAATGGAAAGATGCTGTTAGATAACCAGGATGGGTGAAGAAATACAAATAAGACTTATGAAACAAGTATAAGATAAGAAGGGGGAAAATGAAAACAAGCTTCCCAGGATGATTTCAGGGAGACTGACGTAATGACAAAAAAATCCCAAAGATAGGTGTAGCATGTGAATTATATGAATTATATAAACTATATTCACTTCCTAAGGAGTCTGATAACTAATGCTAGGTATGGTTATCACCATAAGACTGGCTCTATTTGATTGGTCATACTATAGTAATTAGCAAAATGTTAGGGTTGACTTTGTAATGATGATCTAAAAGATAACATAAAAGTCCCTTGGTCTGATTTATTGCTAAGAACTGACTCTGCTCCAATCTCCAGCTCCTATCTGCATGCCAATGCCTAGGATGCATGTAGATACGTTCATCAGGGAGCTGATGACATGTTACTTAAAAGGAAATATTATTTTGCACATGAAAATGATTTTTCTTACCTATCTAGTATTGTTACTGGTAACCCAGCAAAGCTTTTTGGTATAAACAGAATGGAATATGATGAGTAGAAACCAAATAATGCTTGGAAATGTGCTTTAGTTTTCTTTGAAGAAAATAGCAATGCAGTTTTATGAGTCCAGTTTTATCTCAAGGATTTCTACATACTTTGCTATCTTTTATGCTTTGGGGAATGGAGCCAGAATTGTGCCAGCATTGAAGGTCAAACATGAAGTGGAGAGTGGGCAGCCAAAGAGATCAGCAGTCAAGGTCTGAGCTTTATAATATAGCAGTTGTTCAAAAACAACTCATGTGTGTGACATTTCCCAGTTTTTGCTTTGTCTGCCATAAAAAGTGTTGTTGTTCCAGTGATGTTTGTGTAAGTGCTGGATGAGGTAAGAGAAGAGAAAAGAGATGGAGCCTTCTCAGGGGTTCAAGGAATTCTTTTCTGGCTTAGCTTGAGATGCCAGTGGTTATGAAAAGGCAGTTAAAATCCTGTATGTGTTTTCTTCCCATAATCTTAATTGTCTCCCAGTTTTAAGACCAGCTTTTCTGAAACACAAAATGGCAAATCCAAGGGACTGAAATCCTGCATACTCTTCTGAAATACAAATGGAATAATATTTGTATATAAAACAGTTCAACATAATATCCATAATTTTCCCTAGGTGTTCTAAAAAAAGAAGCTATTACATCATTTGATAACTAGATTTTTTTACTACACAATTAGGAGTATGGGATCCAATTTCAAGTTTACCATTACTGTTTTTCAACGTTATTCAAAATGTCCATATTTTGTTTCATTATTTAACTAGATATCATAATATTTTAAGTCCAAATATATTTTTAAAAAAAATTACTTTAAAAACATATAAATCCATCGTTTGTAAACAAAAAGAAGATATCCACATTAAAGGAACAATAAGTAACAGATTCATGCAGTGTACTCAGTCTGTCACTGAAAAATGCTGTTTCTTCAAAAGCAAAGATTTCAGTTTTCATTATTATCCTTAGTATTTCAACATATACTTTCTGTAGACATGTGTTACTTTCATGAATAAATTACATGTTAGAAATCAAGCTTAGAAAGTATTCTTTAACCAATCTTAAGATGTAAGGTTTGGTTTTATTGATATGAATTGGTTGTCAGGAACATAAAAGATAAATTTATTGATTTTGCTTTCTTCATTTATAGGGAGTTAATCAAATTCTCCTCCTTTCCATCAAATATCACCCACACCTTTCCACTGTGTCTAAGGGCTGACAGCTAAATGCTTACTTCGAGTTATGTGGTTACTTGAGAAAACCAGGTCATTATTGGAGAAGAGCAAAGTGATGCCTAGAGGGACGGATGGGGAAGGAGGGTAGGAATTGCTGAAAAGGGTGAGGGGTAAGGTGCAAAAAAGAACATTACCTATCCCCCAAGTCTGTCTGTGTTTGGGACCTTTATTCTCAGTCATATGGCTACTGGAAAGATCTTAGAATCTGTTTTACGTAGAATCTCTTTGAAAATATAACATTTATAATCCTTTAGGGCAGCAACTTTTTTTTTTTTCTGACTAGACACTGGTATTTGGGAGACATTAAATAAATGTTTGCTTAATGAGAATGTTACATATTTAAATAGGTGGTACTTTTATTATAGCCATTATTGTAAATACCTTGATATTTCCATTTGGAATGGTTGCTTCAACAGGTTGAAAAGTAGAGAATCTTAAAGAGTATGTGAAATTAACTTTCAGAATATTCTATCAGTTGAGCCTAGAGTAAGTCAGATGTAACAGATGAAATTAAACGAGCAAATTTCCCAGTTAAAATATCAGTGAAGATATCTGAAGACTTGCAAATCTGAAATTACAACATGCAATGGTAGTGTTACAATTCAGATGACACTTGGGACATTATCAAATGCACCTTTCATCCTTCACTTTAACTTGGAGAATTATTTCAAACTATCCTAAGGGATGGATACGTTAAATTTTAGTATATCATAAGAAGTCTTACTATTCATTATGCAGCCACACTATAAAGCAAAAAAATATAGAAACATCATGACTTCTCAAAAGATGAACTTGGTATCAGTTCTTCTTTTGAATTTTAGAAACTCATTTAATTCTTTTTAAAAGAAGTAAAATTTTAGCTGTCTTCCATTTAATTAATAAATAGATAGAAGGTCTAGAAATATGAAGAGTTCAAATAGTCCAAATATGTTGCTATTGTCATATTTTATAATTATGTCCCATTCTAATTACTCATTACATTTAGATATACCAGATTTAGGGTGATTAATTTACATTTCTCTTAACACCCTCTCTTTCATTTTATTTATGAAAACAAAGGCTCAAATGGGTAAATTTCTCTTCCCAAATCACAATAATGATGTGTGGCAGAGCTGAAAGTGCATGTGTGTTTGTGAACTTTTTACTCTTTCTTAGTAGCTGATCATTGTGTGATGATTCCTTGAGAATTCTGGATCTTGAAATTATTATTTGAAAATAATAAGATGAATAGGATCAATAAAGGAATTGAATAGTGTTGGATCTCATATAGTGTTAATCATGACCCAAAATAATAATCCTATTTGATTATATGATCCTAGACTTATTAGGAACTTGGATATTAATATTTGAAGGAATTTTTGAAATCACTGTTTTGTTTTGTTTTTTTTTTTTTACAATATTCCTCAAGTCAAATAAGTAATTGCAGACTGAAAAAAACTATCTAACTCAAGTTGCCTAATAGAAGTACAGTGCAGGTCATAACTTTGAGCCCTATATTAAATTTCCCAGGAGCCTAATTAAGAATAAAATAGTTAAAATTAATTTTATTCATATATTTTACTTAATGGAATATATCTCAAATATTAATTTTAATATGTTATTTATATAAAACTTAATAAGATATTTTAATTTACTTTTTGTACTGACTTCAAAATCTATGTGTATTTTACACTTAAAGCACATTTGAATTCAACGAGCCACATTTCACATACTCAATAACCACTTGTAGCTAGTGGCTACCTCTTTGAACAACACAAGTCTAAATGGTTTGCTCTGCCTCCAGCAGTGAGGGAGAGGAGGGATTAGAAGGAGTTGATTAGCAGCTTGCTGTGGAGAGATGTTTAGAAGAAGGAGTTGGCATAGGGTATTAAAACATATGAAAGGCTGACACTTCATTTCATAAATGAGGACAGTGGGGTGCAGAGGTATTGAGCAGCCTGTCTAAGAGGCCAGAACTGTAGAAGTGGCTGAGATGGAAACAGAGCTCAGTTCATCTTGTAATTTTATACTTTTTCCATTATAGTATATGTCTTCTCTGGGATAACAGAAATCAGTATTTAATGCTAGGAAAATCATCCTTCTACATAAAGGTTCCATAGAGCAGAAGCCTCCTTACTTTCTGGGAATATCCATGATTATTGGAAGAAAAACCTCTATTTGATTTGTTTACCCAGGTGACTTCCTTTTGATGGATGTGTTATATTAATAACCACACTTTGATGTTGATGTAACAGCATGGCACCTCATGATTTTATTGAAAGAAAACATTTCCCCTGAGAAATACACATGAATTGCTATTAAATTATTTTTTTTTTGTATTATATGTAACACATATTCTAAATATAAAATTTAAGTATAAGTGAAAGTGACTCTACTATTTGTATTTACTATTTCATAATATCTCCTTAATAAATTCTATAATTGCAGAAATTATAGATGTTTTGCATATTGTGGCCTGCAAAAGTAACTATTTTTTAAAACAAAATAAATTTATTTTATTTGTTCATTCAAATAATCTCTATTTAACCCTAAATGTGTGCTAAATAACTTGTTTCATGATGGGAGTCAAATTAGGATAAGGTATCATGGTTTGAGCCTCATAGAGCTATCATTTTATTTGGGAAAACCATTAATAACTAAAAATAAATAGTATAGTTATAAACCATGTTAAGTGTTGTAAAGAAAAATAAAATCATGTACTGAAATAGACAATTAAAGGATAGGTTGGCAAATTTCCTCTAGGTAGAGAGGTCCAGGGTGAGAGGAGGGAACAACAGTAGGTGCAAAGACGCTGGGGTAGCAAAGAACTTAGTGGGTTATGGGCACTGAAAGGAGGTCAGTTTGGCTGAAGCAGATTCACTGCAGTGAGAAGGGCTAGAGAAGAGTCTGTGGCTAGAGGCAGGGGCCAGGTAATTCAGACTCTTGTTAAGGATATATTGTTTTTTCCCAGCATGTAATGGAAAAACCTATTGAAGAGTTTTAAGAAAGGGAGTGACATGATCTGATTTATGTTTAAATAATTCACTGTGCACATTGGGTACAGAATGGATTTCAGTAGAGCATGAAAGGAGCAGGAATACTAGTTATGAAAGCCATTGTGTTCTCCACGTGAGAAGAGGGAGATGGGGCATTCACCTTTCAAAGAAAAAGATCTAGAAGACACAGCACATTCAAATTTTTCTATGGAATAAAGTGTGTATTAATGTGCCTTAGAGAAATCATGTATCTTCCTTTGGAAGGCTAAAAGCCCACAAAATATTTTAGATCACACATGGCAAAGTATTTTCATAATCCAGGAATTTCTGTGCTAAGCTACTCACTTGAAGAACTTGTGCTGCTTCTCTTTCATGATGTGGTTTTCATAAATATGCTTTTCATGCAAGGAATACGTAATATGCTACGCTTATTCAACTCTTTTAGCAACTCCCATGAAGACAAAACAAAACAAAAAATTCACAGGGCAATGTATTCAAATTGATGCATGCCTTGAAAAACGTTTTTCGTTTTGCTTTTTGGTCATTTTTTATTGAAAGAATGTAAAAATGCACGCTCAAATCAGACTTTCTTTTCCAGAAGTCTCATTGGCAAGTGATGGCTAAAAAGGATGAATATGATCTTAGAGTGACTTTTACAGGACAAAAGAATATACTCAGTTTTGTCAAAACATAGCAGTATTTTAATGACTTGTTACATATTTTTACTTTATTCATTTTTGATTAATTATTCTTAACATTCTAAAGAGACTTTTATTTCACTCTTTTATTCACGTCTATATTTTTAATTTATTGTATTGCTTTCCATTTCTCAACTGGAATGTAACTACCATGGAAGTGAAATTATAACTGTTCTGTGCAAGGTTGTAATCTTAGGAACTTAGAGTTCTTTCTGTATAATAGGTGCTCAATAAATATTTGTTAAATAAGTAAATGAATGAATGAACAAACACTTGAAAATAACTGTGGTATTTTGAATACATCAAAAGCTGTTTAGTAGAGAACTATTTTCCTGGTATTATATGCAACAACTTCATCTTCTTCCCTTTAACTAACTTTATATTGAAATAGGGATTTTCAACTCAGTACTATTGGAATTAGAGGCTGGGCAATTATTTGCTATTGGTGTGTCCTGTGCGTTGTAGGGTGTCTGGCAGCATCCCTGGCTTCTACGCGCTAGATGCTTGGCAACCCCCAGTTGTAACAACCAAAAATCTCTCCAGATGTTGCCAAATTCTCCCAGTTGAGAACCACTGTATTAAATATTTTCACAGTATGCAACTAATGATGTTAAAAATACCTAGATTGTGAGCTATTGTATACTGAATTTTGGCATTTTCTATATGGAATGTTTCATTCAAATATTTTAAATTAATTAATTAAAATATATTATAGTATATTTTATCAAGTAGGTAAACATAAAAGGAAATAACTTCCCTGTGATGATTTTTCCACTTGGAAAAGCTATTTCGAGGGTTTGCAGGTCCTCCAAAACTATTTTCAATAAGACTACTGTCCTTTGCTAGCCACAAAATATTAGCATATGAATCCAACTTTCCACAGTGGGAGCCTAGAAATTTCCTAGGAGGCAAAACTGGTTCAACTGCAGTCATTATGCAGAACTATTACTTGCATAGGAAAAAGGACAGAGAGCAGAGATTAGTGAACAGCCCACAAAGGCCCAGTGTTTTTTCTAAGACTTACGGAAGATAGCCAGAGACTTTCTGCGTGATAGAGCTTTTAGGGAGATGTTTACATTGCTATTTCCAGAATTTTATCTTTTTTAATTGATCAAAGGAAACCATAGTACATAGATAAAACTCTGCATGGAACATGAAAAAGAAAGCAGTATTTGAAGGGAAAAATTTGTCATATCTCACGTAATTTCCCAAGCTAGATCTGATAATCAAAGCTAATGACCACACAGATTGCAATTAATCTCAGCATTCTGATTAAAACGCAAAAATTTAAGAGCAGATTTGGGTGGCAGTTGAGAGAAGGTGATTTCAAAGCTCATAGAGTGATTATTCACTCCTCCACCAACTATTTTGTTGTGCTCAGGCAAGTGTGTTGATTGGATAAATCAATAAAGCATAATTCTGTTTTTGGGAGGGAGCTGTAGACATATCATTGGTGCTCCATAGACACATTTTCACATAAAAAATGTAATGATTTTGATATTCCCTCCTCTCCACCTATTGCAATACCACCTTTTAAACTCAGGTAATTCATATATTAGTCTATATTCAAATTATTTTATTAATCTGATTCCAAATTAAGAGGTTAAGAATGAAAGGAAATAGAATAGTGATGGATGCATAAGTCCAGAATTATGTAATGCATTTTCTCATACTTAATTCTCAGTGGTTTTAATTCAGCTGAGTTGGAGAATCAAACAGTGGCCTATCTCTTCCTACCATGGCAATTTCTGAATGTTTTTCTCTTGGCGTCCTATTCTAAATTCCTCAGTTCTTGATGAAAAGCAATTTCAGTTTGGATTTTAGAGAAAAATCTTGCAATGTGCATTTTAAGGTGACACTGAGAGATTTATTTTTGATTAATCATGATTACCTCACTGCATTAACTTGCTCTATTTTAATGTCTAATATGTTAGGGATTATTTTATCTTTCAAGCTAATAAAAATGCACCCTCAGTAACATGAGCAAAATGCTGCTTTTTAAAATGTACCAGCCAATTTATTTTGTTCTGCCTTTTGGTACTGTGAGGAAATAAACTGCTTAATCATAGTAAACAAATAAATATGTTTCATTTTTAGAAGAAACTAAGGTTAGATTTTTACATAATTAACATAGCCTTTTGTCCTCTATTAATTTGGGGGATAAGAAAAATCACATAATAAATTGTCTTTGGTGAAGATTATTTATTTGAAGTGCTGACTATTTAGAAGCATATGGAGGTGGTTGACCACCTTGAAAATTCACCTGTAGTGGGACTGTTATTCTTTTTCCTATCTGCTGCCGACAGTTGCAGCTTAGCTGTGACGCACTTACCATCCTTGATACCTCCCTTCATATAAGAGCTTACTAACTTTATTATTTAATGACATTATAGGTATAAAAATGTTTCTTAAGTTTTCCAAAGCATCCTTGTAAAGAAAATTTAAATACTTAACATCTTTATTTTTAATACATAGATATTAGATGTGTAAAGGAAACTAGTTAAGGCCTAATTTAAGGGAATCAGAATGCTCCTAGGCTTCTCACTCCTCAGCTGACAGTCAAACTGAAACCAAAATTGTCATCAGTAGTACAATGTGGGTGACATATATTAGAAAACTTGATGTAAATATAGCAGAAGATTTATTCATTCATTCATTCTCTCATTTCATATTTCAGTTTCTCATATGTTTCTAGTACTGTGCTAAGCGCTAGTGATACATTTATGAGATTGCACTAATGGTTCATTAATGTGTCTGCACAAAGTCAGGTAATTAGGTTACTGAAGGATGATGGACTAGGCTCTCTGAATCAATTAAGCGTTGATTTTTTTTTTAATCTTTGAAGTCTAAGTTTTTATTAGTACAGCAGCATATCTTATTATTTGACTAAGTTGCTGCCTGGTAATGAGCAAAAAGAATACTCATTCACCTTCCCCAGTATTTTTAGAATTGCTAAAAATGTTTGCAAGTCCTGAAAAGGCAGGTCAGTAATTATCATGTCCTTTGGGCAGAATGCAGTCTGTAGAACAAGATGTTGCCCTAGACTGCAAAAACTGATGACGTCAAAACTGGACTGGAATTTGAGATTTCCTGTTTTTCAGTAACAGGCTTAGATAACTCATTAGGCTTGAATGAGATGCTTTGAACTGTGGTGACTACAGTAATGTTCCCCTCTGCATGTTGAAGTGACAAGTGCCTCCTTGGCCTATTGCTGATCCTGCCTGCTGTAGAAATCTCCAGCTGTCCAATATTTGGAAGAAAACTGTGAGTATATCTTTAACAAGATCTAAATGAGACAAATCACTAAAGAATTATCCATGTTCAATAAACAAATGAAAAATCCCTTTATTTAATAGTAAGTAAACTTGAAATTACATGATTGAAATTAACTTTGGTAACCAGCCATAGGGCACTTGGCAAGATAAATTCTATTTGTATATTGAAACACTAAACAGCAGCCATTAAAATGTTCTTCTACATGAATAATTAATAAGGAAAAATGTTCATGATATTTGTAGTTAAAAAGATAGATGTATCGTCTCACTTTAGAATTTATTTTTTTTGAGATGGGGTCTCACTCTGTCACCCAGGCTGCAGTGCAGTGTGGCATGATCTCAGCTCACTGCAACCCCCACCTCCTGGGTTCAAGCTATTCTCCTGCCTCAGCCTACCAAGTAGCTGGGATTATAGGTGTGCACCACTACACCCAGCTAATTTTTTGTATTTTTAGTAGAAACGGGGTTTCACCATGTTGGTCAGGTGGGTCTTGAACTCCTGATCTGCCCACATTGGCCTCCCAAAGTGCTGGGATTACAGGTTTGCACCACTACACCCAGCTAATTTTTTGTATTTTTAGTAGAAACGGGGTTTCACCATGTTGGTCAGGTTGGTCTTGAACTCCTGATCTGCCCGCATTGGCCTCCCAAAGTGCTGGGATTACAGGCATAAGCCACAGCACTAGGCCTCACTTTAGAATGTTAATTGTACTTATATCTATGGCTATGAACATTTACATATACACACAAATAACCAAAGCTTTAGAGAGAATGTATTCACTCTAAAGTGTTAATGGTTAATTATGTGTATTAGAATGTAAGTGATTTTTCTTTTTTGTGTCTAGATTTTTTATGTTTTCTGTAATGAACACATTATTTTTGTCATAAAATAAAGTTACAGAAAATGAGAGATGACTTTTGTCTCTCAAATTGGAAAATGTATTTTTAATCATAATATATTGACATAGCTTTAGGGAAATATATATATAGTTAGAGTTTAATCTAATATACTCTTTCCAGATGGGAAGTCCACAATGTACCTCAAAACTCAAGTGTCTGTTCTCTTTGACCTAGCAATTCCAAAAAAGTGGATTTATTCTAAGGAAATAATCAGAGAAGTATACAAATATGTTCTTACATGATGTTAACATGGTTTTGTTTATAAGTAAATAGGAATAATAAAATATCTTCATATATGGGAATGATTAAATAGATTATCTTGCATTCATACAACAAGAGCTATTATGTAGTCCTTTAAACTTATGTAAGAATGCTCAATGAAATGGAAAATGCTTATGAGTCATTGTTAAATTTTTAAAAAGCTGATACTATACATTATGTACAGTAAACTCTCACCTATTTAAAATATATTATACACGTGTATCGTGGAAATGAAGATATACAGGGGAATGTTTATAGATTTTTTCTGTTCAATGTGATTACATATAGGAGATTTAAGTTTTCTTCTGTGTGTTTTTCTGTGCATTTCTCAATTTCTACAAAGAATATGTGTTGTTTAGCAACAACAAAAAAGTACATCTCAGTCTGAAAAGGTTACAGGGAACAATAGGGTTGGAGGTGTGTTCAGTAATCAGCGTTTATGGAGATTGTGATGAATTCCTGCAAGAATTATACTTATTTATGGTAGCTGACCTTTTCTGATTCTCTTTGGAACCCCCTCAGGAACCATCTTCATCTCCCTTCTTCCCACTGGAGTTATTTCAAAGACTTTCAGCAAGTGGAAAATTACAACATTTATGTCATGGGTGGTATTCTCAGTTATTCAGATTCAGATGCAAAAAAATGTTTTGAATACCTACTATGTGCCAAACACCTTATGAAATATCTTCAGTCTTTGGGGCATCAGACCTCAAAGGGGCATTTAGGATTTCCATAGATAAAGGAAAAGATAGGCCAGGCCGGGCGCGGTGGCTCACGCCTGTAATCCCAGCACTTTGGAAGGCCAAGGCGGGCAGATCATGAGGTCATGAGATCGAGACCATCCTGGCTAACACAGCGAAACCCTGTCTCTACTAAAATACAAAAAAATTGACTGGGCGTGGTTGCGGGTGCCTGTAGTCCCAGCTACTCGGGAGGCTGAGGCAGGAGAATGGCGTGAACTCAGGATGGGGAGCTTGTAGTGAGCCGAGATCGGGCCACTGCACTCCAGCCTGGGCGACAGAGCGAGACTCCATTTCAAAAAAAAAAAAGGAAAAGAAAAAGGATAAGATAAAGATTTTTTAAGATCGAAGTATAGTCTAGAATCTACTACCAATTAGCTTTGTAACTTACTTGAACAAGTTACACTCTTCTGAGCCCTTATATTTACTCATTTATTCAATATTTATTCATTCAGCAAATATTGGGTAAGTATGAACTAACTGACAGGCACTATTCCAAGCCCCAGGGATAGACCAGTGAACAACTCAAAGTCACTCTTCTCACTGTAGTCAAGTGAGACTGACATTATATAAATACATAAATGTGTAATGTTCTAGATAGAGTTAAGTGCTATGGTGAAAACTTAAACCAGCAAGGGAATAAGAAAGGCTGGAGCCAGGGAAGAAAATAATTGCTGCTTTATGAAGAATTGCCAGAGAAAGACTGATCAGATGACATTTAAGAAAAGACTTGAAGAGTTTGAGAGACAATAATAATACAGACCTTACTTCCTTCATGGATTGCTAGAACTTTATGAAAGGGCTTTGCAAATGTGGAAGGGTATCTGCAGTTCTCTCAAGTTTGATTTGTCTTTGGTGAGAGAGGGCCTGAGTTTACTTCCCTCTATCTAAGGACATTCTCCCTTTGGAGATGGAGTAGATGTTATCTATAGAAACACATGGATGAGAATAATAGAGTCTGTATCAGGGCCAGAATGGTCAGATGATTTCCATTCTGCCTAAACTGAATTAATGAGATATAGAGATCAACATTCGCTATAGAGAGCTATGTATTCTGCATCAAATGTCCTTTAAGTTTCTTTTATTTTAGCCACAAAGATTTTCCAAAATACCAAGGATCGTCAAAAAGAAAGAAAGAGAGAGAGAGGGAGGGAGGGAGGAACGGAGGGAGGAAGGGAGAGAGAGAAAGAGAGAAAGAGAGAAAAAGAGAGAAAGAGAAAGAAAACCACAATCTTACACTTCACTGGTATCAGGTCACCAGTTGTCACTAAAAAAATATCATGCAGGAATCATCTCCGTACCCCTTCCCTAATATCATTAATACATTTCATTCATTTGAATCTGTCCCAGATATTTCTCTGTGCATTTAGCTATATTCACATATATCACAGCCACTCTGGGATGAATTTTAAATCATAAAGAAGGAAATGTTTCTGAAAACTGTCAAGCATTATTTTCTTTTCTTTTCTTTTTTTTTTTTTTAAGAAACTTGGCACGGCGTAGCTATGGCTCCAACACCTGGGCTAAATGAGGAAGTATCAAAAATACTTCCTCATTTAGCCCAGGTGTTGGAGCCATAGCTACGCCGTGCCAACTTTCTCAGGGTTTAGCCCCTTGGTCTTGGGCTTTCCCTCAGGTGTTGATGGGGCTCAAGTGAGACAGAATATGAAAGTGCATGATGCCTGGTGCTGGCTGCAGACCAACGAAAATCTCTGGGCCTTGGTGTTTATACAGGTGTGCCTCTAACTGTCTGTGGGTCTGCAGTTATAAAACAGAAGCCACAAAATGTGCCAGAGGTAGGGGAAAGCTAAGGAGCGAATGAAAATTTCTAAACTCTTTAAAGATTTCTTCTATTTAAGAGCCTTCTTTGTCTTTAACATAAATTCTAATATGTTGTTTATAATGAATGAGCAGAAAGTGTCTTATTCAAGTGTATGCTCAAAAATATGAATTGAATTGAAAAAGGCAGAAAAGAGAGAAAAGAGGAAAAGAATAAAACAGGGAGAGGAGACTGTTGTAATATATAAGACTTTCAGACATAAATACGGTATGCTAATATGGAATTTTTTTAAGGATGCCAATTACCTAATGCATCTCTATTTTTGTCAATAAAGGCAACAAGTTGAATGTTACCTGTTAGGGCAACCAGCCAAACAGTTTCCATGCTGACCACTACTTCTTTGTGGTCCACTGACATTATAAATATAGCCTAGTCTCTGTGAGACTTTATTGTATTTATTATTTACATATAAACATAAACAATAGTGTTCATCTCTGTGGCCCTGTGCTTCATATAGTACCTGGTTGATAGTACTCAATGTTTTTTTGTTTGGTTGTTTTTTTTTTTTTTTTTTTTTTTTTGAGACAGAGACTTGCTCTGTCGCCAGGCTGGAGTACAATGGCATGATCTCAGCTCACTGCAACCTCCACCTTCCTAGTTCAAGCAATTCCCCTGCCTCAGCCTCCTGAGTAGCAGGGATTATAGGTGCGTGCCACCCTGCCCAGCTAATTTTTTTGTATTTTTAGTAGATACGGGGTTTCACCATGTTGGCCAGACTGGTCTCGAACTCCTGACCTCAGGCAATCTGCACGCCTCAGCCTCCCAAAGTGTTGGGATTACAGGCATAAGCCACCATGCCCAGCCAGTACTCAATGTTTTTAAATATGAATTTATTAATATAATTAAACCCGAGGACTTTCTTTAGTTAGAGAGATAGCACAGGCTGCTTAGGTTTGAATCCTGGCTCTCTACCTACTCCCTGTGTGACCTTCAACTTCTTAGCCTTTTTGTGACTCTGATTCCTCATCTGTAAAACAAGAGTAAGAGTATTACCTCCAGCAAAGGATGGTTGTGATGATTCAATACATTATGTTTCTAAAATGCTTAGTATCTAGTAAAGTGCTAGGATAAATTTGCTATTATTTAATAAGGATTGAATAAATATGCTCTGAAATGGGACCCCTATAAAATTATCTATTTTGCTAAATGTAAACTGAACAATAGAAATAGAATATATGGGGTATTGCCATCAACTGAATTTTCTCTTCATTGAGAAATTAGTGAACATCATTAGCCAGGAGGAGCAATAGTGTTGTTTCCGTTTTATTCTGGAATGTATGCCTCCATTACACTGTCCTCGTCCAATTGATCCTCCTTTATGTACCCCCAGAATATTCTGGAATAAGAGTATTACTCTGTTTCAGAACTGAGTTTTTATCACTGCTTTTGAAAATGTTTCAAGTTCACTATCAGTTGAGTAATTACTGATTTTTAAGACAATTTTATTTTCCTTTAATATGTTTTGCATAATACATATAAAATTTTTATTAATTAATCTGGAATGACTTCAGTTGTTTTCTAACACAAGGGCTTCTTTGTTTTTTGTGCCTTCTCTGCTCTTCCCATTATCACAATTGGGAAGGCAACTCCATGCATTCCTTCATGACTAAGTTAGATTTTTTTACAGTTTTAGATCATTTTTAATTGACACATAATAATTGCACATATTAATGGGACACAGTGTGATGTCTTAATGGATATATACATTGTATAATGATTAAATCAGCAGGGTATCTTGCATATCCATCATGTCAAGCATTTATCATTTCTTTGTTGTAAAAATATTCAAAATTCTTTCTCATAGTTACTTTGAAATATATGATGAAATACTTTGATGACCTGAAAAAGAGATCCTTCATTGCTTAGCATTATGGCACTTCCAGTTTAAATGCTATTAAACTGCACCTCATTAGATTACCCTATTTTTAACTATTGTACAACTGATATTTCTAGATTATGTGATGATTGGGCATAAGACAATTTAATGAACTTGTTTATTTGTGTCAGGTCCCTGAGGGTGTAGACTAAGTCTGAGCCAACTTCTTATTGCTCAGGTCTAGCAGAGCGTTTGGCATTAGTATGTTGAAATGAAGAGGTAATGTAGAATACCATGGTATGAAGCACATATTCCTTAGGAAGCACCCTTGGGAAGCGGAGGCAGGCGGATCACGAGGTCAGGAGATTGAGACCATCCTGGCTAACACGGTGAAACCTTGTCTCTACTAAAAATCCAAAAAAATTAGCCAGGTGTGGTGGCGGACACCTGTAGTCCCAGCTACTTGGGAGGCTGAGGCGGGAGAATGGCGTGAACCTGGGAGGTGGAGCTTTCAGTGAGCCGAGATCCTGCCACTGCACTCCAGCCTGGGCCACAGAGTGAGGAGTGAGACTCCATCTACAAAAAAAAAAAAAAAAAAAAAAAAAAAAAAAGAAAGCACCCTTATTGAGCCAGATGAATACATTTTAATAGATTTGACTCAGAATCACCAACAGAAATAGACAAAATGCAAAGGGTCTGAAATGGGTGAAGCTGAGTTGAAACTATATCAGAAATTATCTCAAGGTGGTTTCTAGCGTCGTGGGGAAAAAGTGTCACACTGATTTCTGACTTGTGGTGGTTTTTGCTACCATGGTGAACAAGTGTTTCCAGTTTCAAAAGTCTTGTGTTTGCTAGTAACTCACAAAGTTTCCATTCACATTCACCAATAGCCTTTTACTGTCTCTTCATTGTCTTTCCAGGCCTCCTACAGTAGTGCCTCAATTTTGGTGGCTCTTACATTTTTACTTGAAGAGTTAGGCTGCATATTGAAGTAAGTTAGATCTGGATTTGTCGAGGCTCTTGGTGTGGTTTTCTACAGATATGAAAGAAATAAAGAAAAACTGCCTTTTGGTATCAATTTATTCATCTAAAAATCATGATCATAATAGAAGAGAGGATGTTTATTGTTAAAGAAAATTGGAAATAGGAAAACATGAATCCATTTTGAAAAAGAGCCTGATTTCATGGTAAATAATAAAAAATAAGTTTTATTAGGATTTTTATCTTAAAAACATAGAGTTATACACATAACTATTTCATCTAATATGAAACAAGTTATAATTGCAGCTATGTGCTACTGCTACATGTGAAACTGGGAAGCATCTTGGAAGGGGGCCTAATGTTATAGTTTAGTGGATAAGTGAATATTTTATATTATAAAAAAACCTTTGCTTCCTAATGTGACCTGGTAAATGTAGGGAGTTGAACAATAAACTTCCAAATAAATAGACTAACCTAAAGTTATTGTGTGGATAAACTAATATGCATGGAACACCTTTGTCATAGTGTTGGATAAATGACAGTCACTGCATAATATTAAAGCATGTATCTCCACTAGATCCCATGACAATTATCCACTTAAGAAAAATGACAGCTTTAAAAAAGTGTCTGAATTTTTTAGGGATTTAGAAATTGTGTTTAGCACTTTCTTTTTTAAAAAATTTTCAGCTTATGGAAAAGTTTGGATTTATTAGTCAATACTACAAAAATCACTAACTCTTTACCTGCACTGTCCGACAGTAGTCCCTGTCCTCACCACTTCCCCTCTGTCCATGAACCCGATCCCTTCCTTTCATGAGGCAAATGATTCAGGTACATAAGCCTGTGTTAGAAAATGTGGAGAAAGACTGGAAATTAAGATGATCCTTTGAGTCTATGGCAAATGTCTGATGAAAATATGTACTGCTTGCTTGTTGAAACTTGATGGACTAGGCAAGAAAAATGTGAGTACATCTTGTTTTCAAACTCTAACCTGTCTTTCTGTGGCAAACAAGTTGTTTCCTTCTTCATTCAGATATTTAATTATAATCCCCTACTTGACCTGTGCTTTTCTCCAGGTTCTGTATAGTACCAGTGGGTATGTTGTAATTGACTGCATGCACTGGCAAGGAATCCTTTAAAAATAACTGGTGCAAATAATTAGGGTAATATTTCTTCTTTGGTGGCTAGTCAGGCAAAGATGTGGATAAATTGGGTTCTCTTTCATTACATTACACACACACACACACACACACACACACACACACACACAGACCAGTGTATAGCTGCCGGGCGCGGTGGCTCATGCCTGTAATCCCAGCACTTTGGGAGGCCGAGGCGGGTGGATCACAAAGTCAGGAGATTGAGACCAACCTGGCTAACATGGTGAAACCCCGTCTCTACTAAAAATACAAAAATTAGCTGGGCGTGGTGGTGGGCGCCTGTAGTCCCAGCTACTCGGGAGGCTGAGGCAGGAGAATGGCGTGAACCTAGGAGTTCACTGCAGAGCTGGCAGTGAGCCGAGTGCACTCCACTCGGCGTGGAGTGAGCCTCACTGCACTCCAGCCTGGGCAACAGAGCAAGACTCTGTTTCAAAAAAAAAAGACCAATGTATAGCAAAAGCATCCAAGTAGCAAAATGCGTAATTTCATATTTAAATATTATCTTATTCTTCACCCATGAATAAATAATCTAAAGCTGTATACTAAAAGGAATGCTTTTTATTCATTTCTATTTAATATTATTTTTAGTTTTAATTATGAAATGTTTCAAAAACTCAGAAGAATAAACCATTTTAGAAGATATTTAGAGGATACCCATATACCCACCACTCACATTTAATGAATTAACATTTTGCCATATTTTTTCATACAGTATTTTTGTAAAGAAAGAAAATGTTACAGATACACAGATAACAGCTAAAGCCCTATCCTTTCCATTCCTTTTTTTTTTTTTTTTTTTTTTGTGGCAATCTCGCTGTGTCGTCACCCAGGCTGCTGGTGCAGTGGCACAATCATGGCTCACTGCAGCCACAACCTCCTGGACTCAAGCAATTCACCCACCTCAGCCTTCTGAGTAGCTGCGACCACAGATACACTACCACACCCAGCTAATTTTTGTATTTTTTTGTAGAAGCAGGGTTTCGCCATGTTGCCCAGGCTGGTCTTGAACTCCTGGGCTCAAGCAATCTGCCCATCTCAACCTCCCAAAGTGCTGGGATTACATGTGTGAGCCACCGCACTCAGTCTCCCTTCCTTTTTAAGTTACAGTTTACTATCCTGAAGTTGGTGTGTGCAAATGTATACCTTTGCACAGCTTTGCATATATGTATATCCATAAACAACACTAAGTTTATGTTTTAAAAGTTTAATAAATATCACAGTTTATGACTTCTTTTGTAGTTTGCTTTCATCACTCAGCATTATATTTCTGAATTTTATCCATGTTGATTAATTTAGGACGTACTTCGTTCATTTTAACTGCTATATAATATTCCATTGCATGAACCCTGTCCTGTTATAAAGGAAAGTCTTAAATTTATTAAATGCCTATTAGGTGTCAGACATTATAATACGTATATATACATATGTACATCATATATATGCTTTGATTTTTGCCTCCAGGTTATCCATTAATTTGATGTTTTGCTGACTGGCAAGGCTAAGAATGAGAAACAATTTTATTTTCCTGCACAGCAAAGCCCAACATTTCTGGGATCGCCATATGTCCTCTTAATTCTATTTGCAAACCAGTCAGTTCTTTGCTGAGTTTGTCCATTTTTTGGGGAATATTACCAAACACCTAGCAGAAACCTATTCACATTTTTAATATACTAGCCAGGAACCTGCTTGCCTAAGTTTACAAGTTTACTAAGTATATTTTCTGTCTCCAAATTATCACAGGCAGCATTTATTTTAACCAAACATATTACTAATACATTAAATGGATCTTCATTTTTCTAGCCTCCTAGAAAGGAGCTTCATGGTCACCACCTGATCCCAAAGCCAGTGATACATATATTAGGTTTTTGGCACAGTAGTACCTCACGTCTCAGTACCAGTTATCAGAACTAGTTATCCTCACTGTTTTTCTTGTGAGAAATTGAGGAGATATCCATTTGGAGCAAAAGGGAATGAAGACAGAAAAGACAAATGGGCCAAGCTTAGAATAAGAAATCTGAATTTTCATTTTCTTTTTATTATGTTTTTAAGCATGCAATTCTTTTCTTTAGAAAACTTTATTGGCAAAAAATGATGATCAAATTGACACAAACATGAAGAACTCTGTCATCACTGTTCATAAAACAGTCTCCAAGAAGAAAACAGAAATTAATCTTATGCCCCGAAATGTCTTCTTTATTCTCCTGAAATAGAGTGATAGACACTATGGAGATGGCCTGGCATCTGATCTCTACCATTTACCAGTTGTATGACATTGGGCATCTTGTGTAATTTCTCTGGGCTTAGTTTATTTGTACAATAGGGGAAAGGATACCTACTTCCTGAAGTTATTGTGAGAATTAAATTTTAATAAATATTTATATATATTTAGTGCTTAGTAGGGAAAGAAGTCAGAGATCGCATCTAGAGGAATTGCCTTGGGTATCCACATGTACCTCCCATACAGAAAAGAACATAATTTCCTATGTATTATAATAGCTGCTTTAAGCTTTACATTTGTTGACTCTTAAAAGTTTTTATGAATATTTGTTGTTAGAATTTAGAGTCTGAAAGAAAGCTATTGAAAAAAATATTTTAATTATTGACCATATTTCCTATCATTGATTAGGCTGGATTTAAATGGCTCTGGTGAACCCAGCCTAATGATTTTAGCCATCTTAATTAGTAATCAGTTGGAATTAATAAATGATTTATGTAATGGCCCAGGGTGAATTTTCAATGCCTTAAAATACTTAAATATCACATTAATTCCTTTTGATAATATCATATATTAGGATAGTAATCATCCTATATAACCCTGACATTATTAAAATTGCTCATAGATCCTGTGATTAAACTAGGCCATCAGAGTCACACGAATATTTATTTATAAATTGTCCTCCTTCTTCATCATTACATTGTTTTTATTGAAATGTAATTTGACTTGGTTTCATGTGCCTATATCAAGAAAGGTAAGAATAAGTCTGTGAAAACTAACTTGTCACTGTATTTAATATAAATATAATGTCTGACATTACAGTTTTTCTCAAGATGATCCATAGAAGAAATTTCTCTTCAATTTCATTTTAAAAGGGTGTGTTTTTCCTTTATATCAGGTGTATATTTGCTGTATAAATACAGTAAATTTTCCAAACATTTATCTCTTGATTTGGGTTGAACACACAAGATTTTGTGCATGCAGTTTGTATACTAACCTTCTTCTATCTTCCTTTTTGTTTTTCTACCCTACTTTTCTTTCACCTAAGATTTATTACATATATTGTATTTATTTTACTTTGCTATATTCTTTATCTGTAAGTCATGTCTTAGTTTAAACCCCTCCTAAAACAACAAAAGATAAAATTAATTTTATCAGTGATTAAAGTCACTGAGAGACTTCACTGATATTCAGCTATAATGAATGTAATTTAATATTCAGCTTACCTGTGCGGAAATAAATAAGTCTCACCAGGGTACCATTTTCTAAGGGTTGCTTCTCAACTGGCTTATACATGCTGGATGCCAGAATCTTTTCCACAATTCTCAGTTGACTTGAGACATGTATGGTAGCTCATATATGTCTTTAAAATTGCTGGATGTTATTTTTGGTAAGAAAAATATTAATTGAGAATATATAACTCTATGATATATAATTAATTATGTTGTAATCATGAAATTATTAATCAAATATAAGCTCACAGAGAGCAGACCAGTGGTTATACAGACTGTAGTATGAATTGTGAATCCTTCCCACAAGGGATAAGTGGAAATCTTAGTTTAAGAAAGCTAGTTTTTCAATCAATAAGTTTTCAATCAATAAGCATTTCTAACTCATGTAAACATTGGGGAAGTGGGTGTAAACTCTGCAAAAGCATGTGGTCACTAGAGTATTGTTTATATTATTTATCCTGAAAAATTAATTAGTATTGTGTCTATTCTAAGACAACATCTTTGGCTGGTTTTGAACAAAGGCCAGCTTGTTTGTGTATTTATATTTCTCTGATGCTGGAAGATGGCATATTTTAATTATATGCCTCAAAGCAGATCAGACACTGGAGAACTTAGAGTTTTAATAAGCACAAGCTGCTACCTTCATGGGAAGAGAAACCTTTATGCCTTTTCCGCATCATTGGTTTCTTCGTTTCATTTTCCAGCCTGAAAACCAAAGGCATGAAACTATATTAATCCAGTAGCTGAGAGGCATATTTAAAATAAAGGATTTGAAGTTATTTGAGCAATAGCTTTCCTGGAATTTCCAATTAGTTGATATTGTGATCAGAATGACTGACAGGCTGTTAAGTAAAGCCTACAAAGAATTTGTCAATTCTAGCTTTACTAAAATTATTATTTTTGCAATGTTTGACATTTGAAAGAAAACATTAATTTTAATAACTTATGATGATCTTATGACTCTCTTATTTATAATATTTTAGACACTTCTAATATTTAAAGCCTGTCAATATTCTAATATGATCTTGTTTGTCTTCATTTTGTATAAATTATGAGGTCTAGAAAAATAGAAGTTACAGAGGTATTATTTGTATTTGTGTGTGTGTGTATATTTTTATTTCTTATTCCTAGTTTTACAAAGTCTCTCTCCTTTGCCTGTTTGTATTTTGCTTCATTTTATTTTATTAAGATGGAGTCTCATTCTGTCGCGCAGGCTGGAGTGCAGTGGCACGATCTCAGCTCACTGGAACCTGCACTTCCCAGATACAAGCTATTCTTGTGCCCCAGCCTCCCAAGTAGCTGGGATTACAGGGGTGCGCCACCATGCCTGGCTAATTTTTGTATTTTTAGTAGAGATGGGGTTTCACCATGTTGACCAGGCTGGTCTTGAACTCCTGACCTTGGATGATCCGCCCACCTTGGCCTCCCAAAGTCATGGGATTACAGACGTGAGCCGGCATGCCCAGCGGCTTCCTTTTATAAATAAAGTTTTTTCTTTAGATCTCAGATTATAAGAAATAAACATTTGCATTTATTTGCATAACCAAAGTAGTAGGAAAGCATAACAGTTTTCATGTATCTATATATTTAACATATATTCATAATATATATGTTATAAATATGTATTATATATATTTATAAATATATATTTAAATATATATTTAAATATATGTACTTGTATAGCTTTATGTTAAATATATTTAAATGTTAAATATATCTATAATTCATAAATATGTATATGGATTGCAGATATGTTGAATATATCTATATATTTGTATTTAAATACCTATATATTTATATCTATATTAATATAGATATATTGATATACTTAACATTTTTAAATGTTCAAAAGAGTGTACATTGAAATATGTCCTTCCTACTTCTGTTACTCAGCCAACAGTTGCCCTCCCAGCAAAAACACCTGTTACTACTTACTTACGTATCCTTCCGGAGATGTTCAGTGCACACGCAATCATGCACATATATTGTTCCTCTTTGTTATAAAGCAGCTACACACTATATATTTCATTCTTTAGTTTGTTTTTATTTCCAGTAAAAATATTTTTGAATTTGTATATAGTTATTGATATAGACATACAGTTATATACCAATTTAGCCTATATTCATGGGCATTTAGATTTCCAATCTTCTGTTACTATTTGATTAGTCCCTATTGATGGGGATTTAGATTTCCAATACTGTGCTACTACAAATGATATTTCTGCAAAATTTTGTACATGTATAACATATCAGTAAGATAAATTCCTGAGAGTGGAAAATAATTTTTAATTATGGTAGATATTTGTGAATTGTTTCCTATGGAAATTTTATCAATTTACATTGCCACTGGCAATGTATAAGAGTATCTTTTTTGCTTCCAGCTTTATTGATGTATAGTTGAGAAACAAAAATTCTATATTTTATACTTAAAGTGTACAATGTGGTCTTTTGATATTTGTATACACTGTGAAGTGATTACCACTATCAAGCTAATTAATACATCCACCTCCTCACGTAGACTTTGTGTGTGTATATGTAGTAAGAACATTTAAGATCTCCTCTCTGCAAATTTCAAGTGTGTAATACATTATTATTTACTATAGTATCCATGTTGTACATTAAATCTCCAGGACTTATTCATCCTACTTAAGTGAAACTTTGTACCCCTTGACCAACATCTCCCCATTTCCTGTCTCACCCAGCCCCTGGCAGTTGCCCTACTATTCTCTACTTCTGTGACTTCGACTTCTTTAGATTTTTCACATATAGATGAGATCATGTAGTATTGTCTTACTGTTCCTAGAGTATCTCACTTAGGGTCAGGTTCATTCATGTTGTGGCAATTTACATTAGTTCTCTCTTTTTAAAGGCTGAGTAATATTGCATTGTATATATTTACCACATTTTCTTTATTCATTCATCTGTTGATGGTCACAAGTTGATTCCATATCCTGGCTATTGTGAATAATGCTGCTGTGAACATGAGAGTGCAGATATTTATTCAAGATTACTCATTTCATTTCCATTGGATATGTACCCCAAAGTGAGTTGCTGGATCATATAGTAGTTCTATTTTTTAGTTTTTTGAGGAACTCCCATACTGTTTCCCATAATGGCTGTAATTTACATTTTCACCAAGTGTGTAAGTGTTCCTTTTTCTTCACATCCTCACCAACACTAGTAATCTTCTGTCTTTTTGATAAAAGCCATTCTAACTGGGGTGAGATGATATCTCATTGTAGTTTTGATTTGCACTTCCCTGATGACAAGTGATGTTGAGCACTTTTCATATATTTGTTGGCCATTTTGTTTGTCTTCCTATGTGAAATGTCTATTCAAGTTTTTACCCGTTTTTAATTGAGTAATTTGTTTTCTTTCTTTGAGTTGTTTGAATTTCTTATATGTTTTTGATATTAACGCCTTATCAGATATAGTTAGCAAATATTTTCTGCCATTCTGTAGATTGTCTTGTTGATTGTTTCCTTTGCAGTACAGAAGCTTTTTGATTTGATGTAATCACATTTGTCTATTTTAGCTTCCCTGCCTGTGCTTTTGATGTCATATCTAAAAAGTTTTTGTCAAACCAATGTCATGGAGCTTTTCCCCTATGTTTTCTTCTAGTGGTTTTACAGTTTCAGGTCTTGCATTTAAACCTTTAATTCATTTTGAGTTAATTTTTGTATATAGTGTAAGATGCGAGTATAATTAAATTCCTCTGCTTTCAGATATTTGCTTTTCCAAAAAACATTTATTTAAGAGACTGTCCTTTTCCCACTGTGTGTGCTTGTCATCTTTGTGAAATACCAATTGACTATAAATGCATCCATTTATTTCTGGGCTCCCTATTTTGTTCCATTGGTCTATATGTCTGTTTTTATGCTGATACCGTGCTGTTTTGATTGCTCTATATTCGTAGTTTATTTTGTGATTAGGTAGTACGCTACATCTAGCTTGGTTCTTTTTGCTCAAGATTGCTTTGGCTATTTGGGGTCTTCTATTATTCCTTATAAATTTTAGGACTTTTTTTCTATTTCTGTAAAAAAAAAAAGTCATTGAAATTTTGATAGGAATTGCTTTGGCTCTATGGATTGCTTTGGTAGTAAGGACATTTAATTCTGCCAATCCACAAACACAGAATATCTTTCCATTTATTCGTGTCATCTTCAACTTATTTCATCAGTGTTTTACAGTTTTCAGGATACAGATATTTCACCTCCTTGGTTAAATTTATTCCTAAGAATTTTTTATGCAATCGTAAATGGGATTCCTTCCTTGATTTCTTTTTTCCGGTAGTTTATTGTTAGTGTATAGAAACACTATTGATTTTTGTATGTTGATTTTGTATCCTGCAACTTACGAAATTCATTTATTAGTTGTAATATCTAATTTGTTGAGAGTTTTTATTATCATGAAATGATCTTATTTTTTTTCAAATGCCTTATCTGCATCTATTGAAATGATCATATAATTTTAATACTTCATTCTGTTAATATATTTATTACATTTATTGTTTTGCATACTTCAGACCATCCTTGAATGCCAGGTAGAAATCCCACTTGACCTGATGTATGATCTTTTTAATGTATGATTGATTTTCACTTAATAGTACTTTGTTGTGAATTTTTGCATCTATGTTCATCAGAAATATTGGATTTTTATTCTTTACGTGTATCCTTTTCTGGCTTTGGTATCAGGATAATCCTGGCCTCATAATATGAGTTTGGAAGTACTTCTCCTCTTCAGTTTTTCTGAAAGAGTTTCAGGATTGGTATTAGTTTTTCTTTAAACATTTGGTAGAATTTTGCAGTGAAGCCATCAGTTTCTGGGATTTTCTTTAATGGAAGAATTTATTACTGATTAAATCTCTTTACTCATTATTGATCTGTTCAGCTTTTCTATTTCTTCATGATTCAGTCTTGATAGGTTGTATGTTCCCGGCAATTCATCCATTTCTTCTAGGTTATCCATTTTTTTGGTGTATAATTGTTCATAGTTGTCTTTTATGATCGTTTGTAGTTTTGTGGTTTCGGTTGTAATGTAGTTTCTTTTATTTATACCTTTGAGTGTTTGCTCTTTTTTTCTTAATCAAATCTTTCTAGCCAAAGATTTGTCAATTTTGCTGATTTTTCAGCAAAACAACTCTTAGTTTCATTGATCTTTTCTACTTTTTTCTTATCTCTATTTCATTTATTTCTGCTCTGATCATTATTATTTCCTATCTTCTACAAACTTTGGGCTTAAGTTGTTTTTCTTTTTCTAGTTCATTAAGGTACAATCTTAGGTTACTTATTTGAGATGTTTCTTCTTTTTTATTTTTATTTTTATTTTTAAGTTTTAGATTCAAGGGGTACATATGCAAGTTTGTTACATGGGTGTATTGTATAATGCTAGCGTTTGACTTCTATTGAACTTACCACTCAGATGGTGAGCATAGTACCCAATAGGTAGTTTTTCAACCCTTTCCCTGAATTCTTTGTTTCTCCTTTTGGAGTCCCTAGTATCTATTGTTTTCATCTTTATGTCTGTGTGTACCCAATATTTAGCTCCCACTTGTAAGTGGGAACATGCAGTATTTGGTTTTGTGTTTCTGCATTAATTCACTTAAGACATTGGTTTCTACATCTATGTTACTGCAAAGGACCTGATTTCATTCTTTTTTTGTGGCTGTGTAGTATTGCATGTTGTCTATATACCACATATTCTTCATCCGATCCACCACTGATAGGCACCTAGGTTGACTCTGCTATTGTGAATAGTTCTGTGATAAACATACTAGTACAAGTGTCTTTTGGGGAATTACTTCTTTTTCTTTGGGTAGATACCCAGTAATGAAATTGCTGGGTCAAAGAGTATATCTATTTTTAGTTCCTTGAGGAGTTTCTAAACTGCCTTCCACAATGGCTGAAATAATTTACATTCCCACCAATAGTGTATAAATGTTCTTTTTTCTTCACTTCTTTGCCAACATCTGTTATATTTTGACTTTTTAATAACAGCCATTTTGACTGATGGGAGATGGTATCTCATTGTTTTAATTAGCATTTCTCTGATTATTAATAATATTGAGCATTTTTTCATATGTTTGTTGGCCACTTCTATGTTTTCTTTTGAGAAGTGTCTGTTCACATCCTTTGCCTACTTTTTAATGGAGTTATTTTTTTTTCTTGTTGATTTATTTAGGTTCTTTATAGATTATGGATCTAAGTCCTTCATCAGATTTATAGTTTGAAAATATTTTCTCCCATTCTGTAGGTTATCTTTCTACTCTGTTGACAGTTTATTCTGCTGTGCGCAAGCTCCTTAGTTTAATTAGGTTATAATTGTCAACTTTCATTTTTGTTGCATTTGCTTTTCAG
This sequence comes from Homo sapiens, assembly GCF_000001405.40. Classification (NCBI taxonomy): domain Eukaryota; kingdom Metazoa; phylum Chordata; class Mammalia; order Primates; family Hominidae; genus Homo; species Homo sapiens. The sequence goes on from NC_000004.12 coordinate 85,621,816, forward strand.
GACTTAGTCATAAATTCTTTGCCTAGGCCAATGTCCAAAATAGTTTTTCCTACGAATTCTTTAAGGATTCTTATAATTTTAGGTCTTACATTTTAGTCATTAATCAATCTTGAGTTAATTTTTGTATATGGTGAGAAATAGGAGTCCAGTTTTATTTGTAGGTGTTTATTGCTTCTCGCTTAGAACTTCTTTTGCTGTATCCCATAAATTTTGGTTTCTTGTTTCTCCTTTTTTGCTTGTCTTAAGATATTTTCAAATTTCCATTTTAATTTCTTTTTTAAAAATTTTATTATTATTATACTTTAAGTTTTAGGGTGCATGTGCACAACATGCAGGTTTGTTACATATGTATATATGGTCCATGTTGGTGTGCTGCACCCACTAACTTGTCATTTAGCATTAGGTATATCTCCTAATGCTATCCCTCCCCCCTCCCCCCACCCCAAACAGTCCCCGGTGTGTGATGTTCCCCTTCCTGTGTCCATGTGTTCTCATTGTTCAGTTCCCACCTATGAGTGAGAACATGCGGTGTTTGGTTTTTTGTCCTTGCGATAGTTTGCTGAGAATGATGGTTTCCAGTTTCATCCATGTCCCTGCAAAGGACATGAACTCATCATTTTTTGTGGCTGCATGGTATTCCATGGTATATATGTGCCACATTTTCTTAATCCAGTCTATCGTTGTTGGACATTTAGGTTGGTTCCAAGTCTTTGCTATTGTGAATAGTGCTGCTATAAACATACGTGTGCATGTGTCTTTATAGCAGCATGATTTATAGTCCTTTGGGTATATACCCAGTAATGGGATGGCTGGGTTAAATGGTATTTCTAGTTCTAGATCCCTGAGGAATCGCCACACTGTCTTCCACAATGGTTGAACTAGTTTACAGTCCCAACAACAGTGTAAAAGTGTTCCTATTTCTCCACATCCTCTCCAGCACCTATTGTTTCCTGACTTTTTAATGATCGCCATTCTAACTGGTGTGAGATGATATCTCATTGTGGTTTTGATTTGCATTTTTCTGATGGCCAGTGATGATGAGCATTTTTTCATGTGTTTTTTGGCTGCATAAATGTCTTCTTTTGAGAAGTGTCTGTTCATATCCTTTGCCCACTTTTTGATGGGGTTGTTTGTTTTTTTCTTGTAAATTTGTTTGAGTTCATTGTAGATTCTGGATATTAGCCCTTTGTCAGATGAGTGGGTTGCAAAGATTTTCTCCCATTCTGTAGGTTGCCTGTTCACTCTCATGTAGTTTCTTTTGCTGTGCAGAAGCTCTTTAGTTTAATTAGATCCCATTTGTCAATTTTGGCTTCTGTTGCCGTTGCTTTTGGTGTTTTAGACACGAAGTCCTTGCCCATGCCTATGTCCTGAATGGTAATGCCTAGGTTTTCTTCTAGGGTTTTTATGGTTTTAGGTCTAACATGTAAGTCTTTAATCCATCTTGAATTAATTTTTGTATAAGGTGTAAGGAAGGGATCCAGTTTCAGCTTTCTACATATGGCTAGCCAGTTTTCCCAGCACCATTTATTAAGTAGGGAATCCTTTCCCCATTGCTTGTTTTTGTCAGGTTTGTCAAAGATCAGATAGTGGTAGATACATGGCATTATTTCTGAGGGCTCTGTTCTGTTCCATTGGTCTATATCTCTGTTTTGGTACTATGCTGTTTTGGTTACTATAGCCTTGTAGTATAGTTTGAAGTCAGGTAGGGTGATGCCTCCAGCTTTGTTCTTTTGGCTTGGGATTGACTTTGTGATGCGGGCTCTTTTTTGGTTCCATATGAACTTTAAAGTAGTTTTTTCCAATTCTGTGAAGAAAGTCATTGGTAGCTTGATGGGGATGGCATTGAATCTATAAATTACCATGGGCAGTATGGCCATTTTCACGATATTGATTCTTCCTACCCATGAGCATGGAATGTTCTTCCATTTGTTTGTATCTTCTTTTATTTCATTGAGCAGTGGTTTGTAGTTCTCCTTGAAGAGGTCCTTCACATCCTTTGTAAGTTGGATTCCTAGGTATTTTATTCTCTTTGAAGCAATTGTGAATGGGAGTTCACTCATGATTTGGCTCTCTGTCTGTTATTGGTGTATAAGAATGCTTGTGATTTTTGCACAGTGATTTTGTATCCTGAGACTTTGCTGAAGTTGCTTATCAGCTTAAGGAGATTTTGGGCTGAGACAATGGGGTTTTCTAGATATACAATCATATCATCTGCAAACAGGGACAATTTGACTTCCTTTTTCCTAATTGAATACCCTTTATTTCCTTCTCCTGAGTGATTGCCCTGGTAAGAACTTCCAACACTATGTTGAATAGGAGTGGTGAGAGAGGGCATCCCTGTCTTGTGCCCGTTTTCAAAGGAATGCTTCCAGTTTTTGCCCATTCAGTATGATATTGGCTGTGGGTTTGTCATAGATAGCTCTTATTATTTTGAGATATGTCCCATCAATACCTAATTTTTTGGGAGTTTTTAGCATGAAGCGTTGTTGAATTTTGTCAAAGGCCTTTTCTGCATCTATTGAGATAATCATGTGGTTTTTATCTTTGGTTCTGTTTATATGCTGGATTACATTTATTGATTTGTGTATGTTGAACCAGCCTTGCATCCCAGGGATGAAGCCCACTTGATTATGGTGGATAAGCTTTTTGATGTGCTGCTGGATTCGGTTTGCCAGTATTTTATTGAGGATTTTTGTATCAATGTTCATCAAGGATATTGGTCTAAAATTCTCTTTTTTGGTTGTGTCTCTGCCCAGCTTTGGTATCAGGATGATGCTGGCCTCATAAAATGAGTTATGGAGGATTCCCTCTTTTTCTATTGATTGGAACATTTTCAGAAGGAATGGTACCAGCTCCTCTTTGTACCTCTGGTAGAATTCAGTGGTCCTGGACTTTTTTTGGTTGGTAAGCTATTGATTATTGCCACAATTTCAGAGCCTGTTATTGGTCTATTCAGGGATTCACCTTCTTCCTGGTTTAGTCTTTGGAGGATGTATGTGTTGAGGAATTTATCCATTTCTTCTAGATTTTCTAGTTTATTTGCATAGAGGTGTTTGCAGTATTCTCTGATCGTAGTTTGTATTTCTGTGGGATCGTGGTGATATCCCCTTTCTCATTTTTTATTGTGTCTATTTGATTCTTCTCTCTTTTCTTCTTTATTAGTCTTGCTAGCAGTCTATCAATTTTGTTGATCTTTTCAAAAAACCAGCTCCTGAATTCATTAATTTTTTGAAGGGTTTTTTGTGTCCTATTTCCTTCAGTTCTGCTCTGATCTTAGTTATTTCTTGCCTTCTGCTAGCTTTTGAATGTGTTTGCTCTTGCTTTTCTAGTTCTTTTAATTGTGATGTTAGGGTGTCAGTTTTAGATCTTTCCTGCTTTCTCTTGTGGGCATTTAGTGCTATAAATTTCCCTCTACATACTGCTTTGAATGTGTCCCAGAGATTCTGGTACGTTGTGTCTTTGTTCTCGTTGGTTTCAAAGAACATCATTATTTCTGCCTTCATTTCATTACGTACCTAGTAGTCATTCAGGAGCAGGTTGTTCAGTTTCCATGTAGTTGAGCGGTTTTGAGTGAGTTTCTTAATCCTGAGCTCTAGTTTGATTGCACTGTTGTCTGAGAGACAGTTTGTTATAATTTCTGTTCTTTTACATTTGCTGAGGAGAGTTTTACTTCCAACTATGTGGTCAATTTTGGAGTAGGTGTGGTGTGGAGCTGAAAAGAATGTATATTCTGTTGATTTAGGGTGGACAGTTCTGTAGATGTCTATTAGGTCTGCTTGGTGCAGAGCTGAGTTCAATTCCTGGATATCCTTGTTAACTTTTTTCTTGTTGATCTGTCTAATGTTGACAGTGGAGTGTTAAAATCTCCCATTATTATTCTGTGGGAGTCTAAGTCTCTTTGTAGGTCACTAAGGACTTGCTTTATGAATCTGGGTGCTCCTGTATTGGGTGCATATATATTTAGGATAGTTAGCTCTTCTTATTAATTGATCCCTTTACCATTATGTAATGGCCTTCTTTGTCTCTTTTTATCTTTGTTGGTTTAAAGTCTGTTTTATCAGAGACTAGGATTGCAACCCCTGCCTTTTTTTGTTTTCTATTTGCTTGGTAGATCTTCCTCCATCCCTTTATTTTGAGCCTATGTGTGTCTCTGCACGTGAGATGGGTTTCCTGAATACAGCACACTGATGGGTCTTGACTCTTTATCCAATTTGCCAGTCTGTGTCTTTTAATTGGAACATTTAGTCCATTTACATTTAAAGTTAATATTGTGATGTGTGAATTTGATCCTGTCATTATGATGTTAGCTGGTTATTTTGCTCATTAGTTGATGCAGTTTCTTCCTAGCCTTGATGGTCTTTACAATTTGGCATGTTTTTGCAGTGGCTGTTACTGGTTTTTCCTTTCCATGTTTAGTGCTTCCTTCAGGAGCTCTTTTAGGGCAGGCCTGGTGGTGACAAAATCTCTCAGCATTTGCTTGTCTGTAAAGGATTTTATTTCTCCTTCACTTATGAAGCTTAGTTTGGCTGGATATGAAATTCTGGGTTGAAAATTCTTTTCTTTAAGAATGTTGATTATTGGTCCCCACTCTCTTCTGGCTGATAGAGTTTCTGTCGAGAGATCTGCTGTTAGTCTGATGGGCTTCCCTTTGTGGATAACCCGACCTTTCTCTCTGGCTGCCCTGCCCTTAACATTTTTACCTTCATTTCAACTTTGGTGAATCTGACAATTATGTGTCTTGGAGTTGCTCTTCTCGAGGAGTAATTTTGTGGCATTCTCTGTATTTCCTGAATCTGAATGTTGGCCTGCCTTGCTATATTGGGGAAGTTCTCCTGGATAATATCCTGCAGAGTGTTTTCCAACTTGGTTCCATTCTCCCCATCACTTTCAGGTACACCAATCAGACGTAGATTTGGTCTTTTCACATAGTCCCATATTTCTTGGAGGCTTTGTTGGTTTCTTTTTATTCTTTTTTCTCTAAACTTCTCTTCTCACTTCATTTCATTCTTTTTGTCTTCCATCACTGATACTCTTTCTTCTAGTTGATCGCATCGGCTACTGAGGCTTCTGCATTTGTCATGTAGCTCTCGTGCCTTGGTTTTCAGCTCCATCAGGTCCTTTATGGACTTCTCTGCATTGGTTATTCTAGTTATCCATTCGTCTAATTTTTTTCAAAGCTTTTAACTTCTTTGCCATTGGTTCGAATTTCCTCCTGTAGCTTGGAGTAGTTTGATCATCTGAAGCCTTCTTCTCTCAACTTGTCAGTCATTCTCTTTCCAGCTTTGTTCTATTGCTGGTGAGGAGCTGCATTCCTTTGGAGGAGGAGAGGCCTTCTGATTTTTAGAGTTTTGAGTTTTTCTGCTCTGTTTTTTCCCCATCTTTGTGGTTTTATCTACCTTTGGTCTTTGATGATGGTGACGTACAGATGGGTTTTTGGTGTGAATGTCCTTTCTTTTTGTTAGTTTTCCTTCTAACAGACAGGACCCTCAGCTGCAGGTCTGTTGGAGTTTTCTAGAGGTCCACTCCAGACCCTGTTTGCCTGGGTATCATTAGCGGTGGCTGCAGAACATTGTATATTGGTGAACCTCAAATGCTGTTGCCTGATCATTCCTCTGGAAGTTTTGTCTCAGAGGAGTACCCGGCCGTGTGAGGTGTCAGTCTGCACCTACTGGTTGGTGCCTCCCAGTTAGGCTCCTCAGTGGTCAGGGAGCCACTTGAGGAGGCAGTCTGCCTGTTCTCAGATCTCAAGCTGCGTGCTGGGAGAACCACTACTCTCTTCAAAGCTGTCAGAGAGGGACATTTAAGTCTGCAGAGGTTACTGCTGTCTTTTTGTCTGTGCCCTGCCCCCAGAAGTGGAGCCTACAGACGCAGGCAGGCCTCCTTGAGCTGTGGTGGGCTCCACCCAGTTCCAGCTTCCCCGGCTGCTCTGTTTACCTAATCAAACAACTAACTGGGCCATGGCAGGTGCCCTTTCCCCAGCCTGGCTGCCGCCTTGCAGTTTGATCTTGGACTGCTGTGCTAGCAATGAGTGAGACTCCGTGGGCGTAGGACCCTCCGAGCCAGGTGCGGGATATAATCTCCTGGTGTGCCGTTTTTTAAGCCCATTGGAAAAGCGCAGTATTAGGGTGGGAGTGACCCGATTTTCCAGGTGCCGTCTATCACCCCTGTCTTTGACTAGGAAAGGGAATTCGCTGACCCCTTGCGCTTCCCAGGTGAGGTGATGCCTCGCCCTGCTTCGGCTTGCACATGGTGTGCCGCACCCACTTTCCTGCACCTACTGTCTGGCACTCCCCGGTGAGATGAACCCGGTACCTCAATTGGAAATGCAGAAATCACCCATCTTCTGCGTCGCTCACACTGGGAGCTATAGACCGGAGCTGTTCCTATTTGACCATCTTGGCTCCTCCCCCTTAATTTCTTCTTTGACTATTGATTGTTCAGGAGCATGTTGTTTAGTTTTTCTGTATCAGAATTTTCTGAAATTTCTCCTGTCATTGATTTCTAATTTCATATTATTGCAGCTGGAAAACATGCTTGATATGATTTCAGTCTTCTTAAATTTGTTGTCTCAATTTGTGGGCTAATATATTCTATTGTGGATAATGTTCCATGCATGCTTGAAAAAGAATATGTTGGTGTTGGATGGAAGGAATACGGCTACTGTTGGATGGGATATTCTGTATCTATCTGATAGGTTCATTTTATCTGTGGCGGTGTTCACATCCACTGTTTCCTCACTGATTTTCTGTCTGGATAATCTGCCCATTATTGGTAGTGGGGTACTGAAATCCTCTATGATTATTGTATTGCTGTCTATTTATCTCTTCAGTTCTCTTACCATTTGCTTTATTTATTTAGGTGCTCTGATGTTGGCTTTACATGTATTTACAATTATTATGTCTTCTTTGTGAATTGACCCTATAATGACCTTCTTTGTTTCTATGACAGTTTTTGACTTGCATTCTATCTTATCTAATGTAAGTATAGACACTTCTGCTCTCTGGTAATACATTTGCATGAAATATCTTTTCCTTCTTTAATTTTAATCTATATGTGTCTTTAAAGCAAAAGTGAGTTTCTTATAGGCAAGGTATGGTTGGTTGTTGTTATTTATCCATTCAGCTATTCTATGTGTTTTGACTGGAGAATTTAATTCATTTATATTTGAATTTATTATTAATAGGTAACTTTAATTTTTTCCACTTTATAACTTCTTTGTTCTTTCTCTCTTGCTGACTTCCTTTGTGATGTGATGATTCTTTTTGTAGTGGTACGTTTTGATTCTGTTGTCTTTATCTTTTGTGAATACACTGCAGGATTTTTCTTTGTGGTTACCACAAGGCTTACAAAGAACCTCTTATAGTTATAACAGTCTATTGCTAGCTTATAACAAGGGAACTTCAACCACATACAAAAATCTTTATACTTTAATTTCTCCTCCCCTCATGTAGCATGTTATTGGCATCACAGTTTATGTCTTTAATATATTGTGTATCCATTAGCAAATTACTGTAGCTATACTTAATACTTTTGACTTTTAACATTTACACTAAAATCAAGTTATTTATATACTATCTTTATAATAATAGAGTCTTCTGAATTTGACTATATTCATAAATTCATAGTGAATTTTATACTTACATATGTTTTCACATTGTTTGTTAGCATCATTTTGTTTCAACTTGAAGAACTTCCTTTAACATTTCTTGTGAGACTGGTCTAGTAAAAATTAACTCCCATAGTTTTTGTTTGTGTGGGAAATTATATCTCTCCTTTGTTTCTGATGGACAGTCTTGCCAGGTATCTTATTCTTGGTCAGCAGTTTTTTTTATTTGAACAGTTTGAACATATCATCCTACTCTTTTTTAGCCTACAGTGGTTCTGCTGAGAAATCATCTGATCAGGTTTCCTTGAATGTGATGAGTTACTTCTCTCTTACTGCTTTCCAAATTCTATCTTTGTCTTTGACTTTTGAGAATTTGATTATAATATGTCTCAGTGAAGATCTCTTTATATTTAATCTATTAGGTGTTGTTTGGGCTTCATGGATCTGAATGTTAATTTACCTTGACAAATTTGGGGTTTTCTATGTATTTATTTAAATGAGATTTCTGACCCCTTTTCTTTCTCTGCTTCTTCTTTGGTTTCCATAATGTGTATATTGGTTCCACTGATGATGATTCATAAGTCTCATAGGCTTTCTTCTCTCTTTTTTATTCTTTTCTCTTCTTTCTTTCTTTTTCCTCTAGGTAATTTTAAATGACCTGTCCTTGAGCTTGCTAATTATTTACTCTTCTTGACTGAGTCTGCGGTTGAATCTTTTTATAGAATTTTTCAGTTCAGGCATTGGAGTTTTCAGCTATAGAATATCTGGTTGGTCCTTCTTTATGATTTCTGTCCTTTGTTGACATTCTCATTTTGTTCATATGTTGTTTTCCTGGTATCATTTAATTGTCTATTTGTTCTCCTATAGCTCACTAGGTTCTTTAAGACTACTTTTTGAATTCTTTTTCAGACAACTTGTAGATTTCCACTTCTTTAGGGTTGGTGACTGTTTCTTCATTTTGTTCTTTTGATGGTGTCGCATTTCTGTGATTATTCATGATCCTTGTGGCTGTTCATTGGTGTGTGCACATTTGAAGAAGTAGTACCTCCTGTAGTCTTTACAGATTGGCTTTGGCAGGATAAACGTTTACTAGTCAGCTCATCCAGAGATACTGAGCAGGCCAACTGTTGGGGTCTGTGAAGGGCTTACAGCTGGAGTCTTCAAATGGGCTGGCATGGAGCCTAGGTCTGCAGAGGGATGCCTAGAGACTGTGTCCACAGGAGCCAACCAGAAAGCTAAGTTCATGGGTGCCAATCATATGAGTATCTTTTTCTAATACTCTATCTAACATTGTACATTATAATTTAAAGAATTATTTAAATAATAATTTAAAGAATTATTTAAAATATTTTATTTGCTTTTTCTATTATAAATAGAATTAAGCATCTTTTTCTACATTTCTATGCTGGGTTTCCTTTTCTAAAGAATGTTAGCCCTTACTTGTTGATTTATAGGAGCTTTTGATGTATTAAATAGTTAGTCTTTGTGATACATAGTGTTAATATTTTCCCCAGTTTGTTGTTGTTCTTTAATAGTACTTATACTATTCACTGCCATACACACACGTATATATACACACACATGCATGTGTATACACACACACATTCTCTCTCTCACAGAGAGAGAGGGAGAGTGAGAAAGAGAAAAAGAGAGAGTAAGTGTATGGTTGAGTTTATAGAGTTGAAATTGTCTGGGTTCTGCATCATACTTTGGAAGGTCTTCCATACTCTGAGATAATTAAAACAACTTGCTCTTAGTTTCTTTTAGTACTTTTGTATCGAAAGATAAAAAAGATAAAAAGGTTTCACTTGAATAGATATCTTTAAGCTAGAAATTTATATATCTTTCTTAATTCTCTATGTTTTACAATATCTGTTTACTCTTTAAAAGAGTCAATTATTATGTTAACATATTTATCTCACTACCTTTCCTTTTCCACGCTCAATGTAGTTGATAATGTTAGGTTTCTTAATATATACATCAATGTTGTTAGATAAACGGAAACTTTTCCAATTACTCTTTGGATGATATAGTTTTTCAACTAGCTGTAAGAAAAAAGTAACTTCACATTTTAAAACTTTTCTAGCCTTTTCTCTTTATTTCAATGTCTATTTTATTAGCATTTTCAGAATGTATAAGACTTACAAAAAATTATACAACCGTAATCCCCACGTTTTAAATAGATTCAATGTTCACTTCTAATCATTTTGCTATAGATTTCCTATTCTTTCTCATGTGACAAAATTATTACTCAATTTACTTTTTCAAGTTGAGATCATAGCAATATTCCTTGGTTTTGCTTGTTCAAACAAATGTATCTATTGAACAACAGTCTGGGTGAGTGAAAAAAAATTGTGTCATATTTTATGCCTAGGGTCTTTGTCACCATGTTTTCTACTGTCATCTAATGTTGACTATTGTGATACAGAAAACTGAGGTCAGACTGATTTTTAGCCCCTTAAAAATGATTTGATATTTTTACCTAGCTATTCAAAAAATTTTTTCTTTATAAATACTCTAATGTAACTAGAATACATCTACATGTTAAATAGTTCTGAGTGTGTCTTTTGTATCCATAGATCCAATTCTTCCTTTATTTATGGAAAGTTTTCTTGAACTTATATTTTAATATCTTGTTTGTTCCCTTGATTTCCATATATATTATTTTACAGACCATTTAGCTCTTTCTAATTTGTCTTTATCTGGTGTGTTCATTTTTTTCTTCTACTCTTTTTCTGAACTTTATCACCTCATGATTCATCTATTTTTGTTGTCTTACCATATGTTCTCTGATCTCTATATAGCCTCAGACCATATAAAAACTTGGCTTATATTACTGTTTAAAAGAATGAAAAATATATATTGATAGACAACTAGCAGCTTCTGCCACACATAAAGCCTGACCTTCTTTTTCTCAACTTAAGTTATGTGTCACGTAACTGGAGAACTGGGAACATGTGTTGTCCCAACCTTTCTTTTCTTTTATTGGTAAAACAATAAAGAGAGATGCTTGGGGCAGTAGGCATTTTTCTGTATTTTATTGGGGCAAGGCCTCAGAACCCCATTTCATTGGATTTTATATAATAACAAGAACCTAAGGTAGCTTATACATACTTGTTAAAGGTAATATAAAAGAAAAATATCCCTGTGGACTCACTGTGTTTTCAGCCTTTTATATCGTGTATACACAGTGGTGATTTAGAATTTGATTTTCAGTTAAGAAGTATGCAGTCTAGCTGCCAAGTCTGCATTAATTAATAACAAATTAATGTCTAATGGCAGTGTCCAATGAAATGTTTGCCTCTCCAAGCTCCATTTTGCTTTGCAATTGCAATTACCTGCTGCTATATGTTTCTTCACACATAAAGGTGTCATTTATAGGTTTATATATAAATGTTTTTAAATATCAGGAGTTAAAATTAGGCTTTGTTTTCCCTAATGAGATAACAGATGTTCTAGGATGCTAATTACCCCAGGAACAGTATTATTTACTTAGACTTTCATAGGCTCATTGATTTTTTTTCTTTTTGGTTTTGTTCCAATGGGTAACATTTTTTTTTCTTTTATATGTATGCTTGGCTCAAGGGAAACATAATAACATTGTTGTCTAGCACCTACTGTTTTTAGCTCTTAGTGAAACCTGGCTATTAAAATGCTTGGTGTATATGTACTTATAGTGTTACCAGGCTGCTCATATGAAAATCTTGGCACCTCTCATATTAACAGTTCATCTGAATGGCTATGTTTTCCTTTGCTTTTCTCACTAGCTGGCATTTTTTTGGCTGTCTCTCTGACTCTCTTGCCCTCTTGATATGTATCTTATGGGTTATCTGTCAGTCTGATTGTAAATTACACATGGGGATGACATGTGTTTTGTATGGCATTTTGCTTTCTTGAATTGTTTCAGAATGTTTAGAAAGTTACCCAGTACAAATGATTTTTGGCAAATTAGCATATAGTCTGCTCCTTTCTCATCAAGTATTTATGTGGTATCTTCCATTAGTATAGATCTGTGCTGCCATGTATTTAAATTGGGCAATTTCTTTTAACTTTAGGCATCTGCAAGGTCCTAAAATTTTAATGCAGATCACTCCTTGAACTGACCTCTCAAATCTATTTTGCTATATGTAAAATACACAATTTCTTGCCAAGAAAGTTCTTCTAGCGGAGTGATATTTACAATCATGAAATATCTTACCTTACACCCAGAAGGTGAGTGAGAAGCACCCACCAAGATCCAGGAAAATTAGAATTCAGTTTGAGATTAAGACTTTAGCTTTCATTCACTTTTAATTAACTATTGTAAATTAATAGTTCAAAAGACATACTTTTAGGGCAGGTATAGCTCTTACTTGCTTCCTGAAATATTTCGGGAGCCTGATTTCTCCTCTCTAAAGTTAAGTTCTGAGTTTTGCAGATTGCCTCTGCAACCAGATTCTACTGAGTATGGAACCTTGTGAATCATATAATTTTATTTTCCCAGTAAATTTTTCTTTGATTTTTGTCATTGAAAAGTCTTTAGTTGTGTCCACAGCCACATTCTGCAGGAACACTCCCCCTTCAGAAGATATTGATTACTGTTTTTACAATTCCTCCTATGTAAATGACTTGACCTTATACTTGCAATTATGCAACTGATGTTTTGCATGTAGTAATTAGCAGTCTCATTCAACTGAAGGATAAAAAATCTCACAAATTATTTAGTCCCCTTTCAATCAGTGAATGTTATATATTGATGTACATAATATGCAATAGGGAAATAAAAAGATAACTTGTCTCAGTATTAAAAGTTTTGCTTCCAGAATTTATGAGCTCTATATACTTAATATTCCATAGAATTCCTCAGTTCAGTAAATTTGTTCTGCCTCCAGTTATAACTAATATTCCTTAAATACTCTATTTTTAATTTCAGCCTGGAGGAAAATTAAGATCATGATAATAACAAACATAGGATTCCTCTGGTTCAGCTTTCTCTCAATTTTCAGGAACTTACACATTTTCAAATATGTCCAAATCCTGGTGGCCATTTTCAGAAGATGTCTACTGTATATTGAATGAGTTGTTTTCTTTTGCTCCCAAATGGTAACTGTCAGTTTCTTCCACTCTTGCATTCCTCTTTGCTTCATCTCCTGCATGTCATTCTTTCAGGTGCACAAATAAAACACTATTGTTCATTCTTGCATAAGCAAAAATATCACTTGTGATATCCAGCAGTGTTGGATTGGACCTCGGTTCCTAAGGTACTGCCATCTTTGATGAAACTACCACTACCAGTTCATTTAAGTTTTATTCTTTTCCATTGCTGCCTTTGCCCTATGTCTCAGACTTCAATGCATGGACCAAAAGACCTTTCCAGTAATAAACTCTTGAGATGCTTAGAATTATTGCCACCCTTTGATGCCTTTCTACTTTACTTAAAAAGAATATTCTCTTTTCCTGTGATTAATTCTTTCTCATTTCTCATTTTTTCCTTATCCTTCAAGTAAACATACCCACACCTTATTCATCCTCAAAGCCTAGCCAGACACTCCTGAATCTTTAGATGTATACATCTTCAGATCAGGTGGAGAACCCCATCTGTACTTAGTTATAAAGGAACACTTCAAATCACCATTGACTGTCAGCTATTTATTTCTGCTACCAAGACCAATATATGTTTTTTATTTCATAAAGATTTTTCATAGCGAGTATAAAAACTACTTTGTAATTAATGCCCTCCTAAATCACCAGTTCTTCTTCTCTTTCTGCATTCTGGGCTCAAAACTTTGTTGGGGAAAATGGAGAAAAATGAAGACTTTACCTGCCAAAAAGCATGGTGCCAAACCATTGATGTGTACCTGCCATAGTTACCCACTTTTTTTTTAATCAGGAAAGACCTTATTAACACATTCATCCCCAACCTCTCCATTACCTGGTGATCTAGTTTGTGAATGAAGATGTTCAAAGGTGTTGATTGTTTTTTAGTTTTTGTTACAGGTCTCTCCTTTGTTGCACCTTACCAAGATTTCCAGACCAATGGCTTATTCTTATTGTCTCTTTTATTTATTGCTTAGTTTCTCCTCATTTCACTGAGAAGTGCCTTCAAATTCTGTTGAATTCCCTGAAATTCTATGAAATCTATAGATTTTTCTTAACTTATTCTCCTGATATTTTTGCATCTGAAAGAAACCAAAGTACTTAGTTAACTGCTAGACTACAAGGTGAAGTGGCCTTCATTGCATATCCCAGAAAGAATCCAGAGCAGGCAGTTTGATCGTACAAAGGATTTTAATTTTGCTTTAAATCTAATTTCTATTTTATTTTAAAAAAATCTTACCAGCGGAGTTTCTAGGACCATATCTATTTTGTTTCTTTTCATAGGTACCAATAATATAGCCGTTTAAGACAAGAGCTCCGTAAAAATTTTGTTTTAAACATAGCCAATTATTTACTCTATAAGTGAACTAACACACATTATCAAAATTTCCCTACGCATTTCCTTTTAAATAGATTCCATAGGTTTATCTTGCCTTATTCTCCTTGATTTCCTGCATCATTTGATATGATTGGCCTTCACTCTTCCTTCTTTAGATTCTGTAATATTGCATAGCCAATTATTTACTCTATAAATGAACTAACTCACATTATCAAAATTTCCCTACACGTTTCCTTTAAGTAGATTCTGTAGGTTTATCCTGCCTTATTCTCCTTGATTTCCTGCCTCATGTGATACGACTGACCTTCACTCTTCCTTCTTTAGACTCCATCGTATTGCACTTTCCTTGTTTTTTTTTAACGCATCATCTCTCTTTATTGCCTTCTCATATTTCTTTCCTAACTTTGAGTATTTCCCAAAGCGTTAGTTTTTGTCTTTACATTTCTTCTCTTCAGATGTTTTCTTACAGTAAATTAATAATATAAGCTTCACTCACAAGATAATATCTGCAGTCTCAACCTTATGGGTGTTCTAGTTGCAGAGTCCCCTGACACTTGAGTGTTCTGCTGTTGGTTTGAATTCAAAGTACCTAACCTCAAGTCATCATGTATCTTCTTGCTTTCCAGACATTAGTTATTTAAACTTTCTGTGTTTCAGCTTCCTAATCTGTAAAATGGAGACATTAATAGTACCTATCTCATAGACTTGTTGGGAATATTACACACACACACACAGACACACACACACTCAGTGCTAGCCATCACTATTACGCCTTGACACTACATTGCTAATTAAATTAGGCTGTACTTATCCTCACCCTCTGAAAATGCGGTGGAAATAACACAATTTGGAATTATTATCAGTCCAAATCCATCAGCCTTGTGACCCATTGCAAGTCTGAATTTCTCCATGAAATCTCTCCTGACAAATTCAAGGCCAATTAATTTCTCTTTTTTAATGCCAGTTTTTGCACTAGTCATATACAGTAATTTGATATGTATTTTTCTCCAAACCAAACTGTAGGCTCTTAGTGGTATGAATTTGCACTCCTGCTGTCTTACCCTCAGTGCTTTGCTATCTATAGACATGACAAGCACTTAGTAGATAATTTTTCAAAGGAAGGAATGAACATATATTCTTAGAATGTCCCCCAAAGTGTCGCATTCATGGATATATAATCATTTTCCTGCATAGTTAGATGTGTAAGCAATATTAAATCTAGAGCCAAGTGCAACTGAAAAAATTAATTAAATACATGTGTGGCACAGATAGCCAGTGTTACCTAGAAGTGCATGCATTTTTCATTTACTCTCATGGGTGTAATTGTGAACTGATGCATACTCATAAGGTGTCTGAAACTGGGATAGGTTGCCCTGGATCATCTCCCTGGGTAGCGTAGCTATAACTAAAATCATAGTTCAGATCCTCTAACAAAAAAGCTGACATGAGCCAAGGTTGTTAATAGTCCAAAGATCTTTTGCATCAAATTTTTGGTCTCTATAATCCCAAATTTTGACAACAAATAAAGGGTGTAGTGGAGATCATGAAGAATAGGTGTTTTAGGTTAATTGATATATCTTTAGGTATTCATTCAACTACACTGATTTTCGAACATATATTTACCTTCTAAGTATTCTTCAATAATAGATTACAACATCTAAATGTATGTTGCCAATAGCCATACATTGTAACCACTAGCCGCATGGGGCTAACTGAGCACTTGAAATGTGTCTACATAGTCCAAATTTAGACATGTTGTATATTGGTAAAAGATACTTGATTTCAAAAACTTTCTACAAAATAAGAATGTAAAATTTCTCATTAATATTTTCAATACATAATGATGTTGAAATAAAAATATTTTGAATCTATTAGATTAAATAAAATGTATTATTAAAATTAATTTCACTTTTTTTTACTCTTATTGATGCAGCTACTAGATAATTTTAAATTACATATTTGGCTCACATCAGTATTCCTGTTGTACAGGCTAAATTAAATCAAAGACATATTTGAGGTTTTTCTTTTTAAAAGGAACATGTATTAACACAGGAGATAATTGCTCAGAACTAAGCCTGTGGTTTGCATTCCTGTTCCTAGGCTTTATTCAGAATCTACATTCTCTTTGCCTTGTCTCCTGAGCAGAAGCTTCTGCTGTGCCACAAACCATCTCAGTCATACCACATTCTCGTCCCAGTCTGTATCCTTAGTAATCAGCACCAGGGCAGGCCAGGAATATGGCAAAGCCTTGTAATAACTTGTCTCATCTCCACCTCCATCTTACCTATCATGGTGGTCTTGTATGTTCATGACTGTACGTCAGCCCTGATTTAAGAACTGCTGTGATGATTTAGCTAGAGAAATCATTTTGTGCTAGTCTTCTAATACTTTATTTAGATCCAAATACCACATTTAATGATACTTATTAGACTTGTACATGTTATATGATACAACTTTCTCTGAGTAAGATTCTACCTGACTTACTGGTTTTAGTTCAGCTGTTCCAATGAATTTAGAGACAAGCCTTTTGCAATTTAATATTCTTCTTGCTTAACACCTTTGGCATCACTTGAAAAACTAAAGGGATGCATTCTTCCACTGACATGTGACTTCTCCAAAAATGTCCAATGGTTATGGGAAGAGAGATTCTAGGACTGATAGAAACTTATTTTAAACCTAAAGGAAACCCTATTCCTGTCCATTGTAATAACACAGGACTGTATATTCTTGCCTTTTTTCCTTTCCTCTCTAATAGTAACATCAACTTTCCTTTTGTGTGTGTGGATGTGTGTGGATGCCCACAATATGTTGGGCACCTTATCAGGCTGGATCAGTGAGAATGAAGAGTCTCCAGAAGCTTGTTTCAGTTTACACTTAACTAGCAGAGTATACTATCATGGGTAGATACGGGATATCCTCTGCCCATTTACTCTTTACTACTGAACACCCTGTTCTTCAAATAAAACTTCCAAGATAAATAATTCTCTTAAGGAGATGCTAGTGAGCAAAACATACTGGAGAATTAAAGACAAGAACCTAATACTCTTGGTTTACTTCTTTAAGCATTAACTTAGTCACTGACATAATCTCATGGTGCTAACTTTCAGAATCTTATTACCACTGTTTACAGAGGCCTTCTGTTATTTTACATGGGCATGGAGCTGACGAATGGAGGTAGAATACATTTTACATAGTTGCTGCTAATATTTATCTAAAGAAATGAACATCTCTTTTATGATACAGTAGTGTGCATTTCTATTCTTGTTTCTTATTCCCCAAATTGTCCTAAGATTGCCCAAAAGAAGAGAATGTAGCCCATGAAATTGAGAATCAGATATGACCACTATTTCTTTAATCACACTCTTAGATATAACTTATTTCTCACTCAGCAGCTTTGATACAGATTGAGTACTAATAGTTCAGTGTTATTATCTACTTCAGTAAATTTTTTGTATTATTAACTATTTCAGTAAATTTTAGAATCTCAGTGCATTTTTTTAGCCTATGTTCATGTAGAAAGTGTTATCCTGAGTATTACATTTATAAAAAAATCATTCAGGGGCTATAGAAGCAAAGGCACCCGATCTAAATCTCAGGCAAAGAAAAGAAGAATAGGATTTGGATCTCTTTGTACCCTGTCCAGTGTTCGGTAAGCCTAAATAGATAACAAATTCTCAGAGTTAGCTCCAAGATGTTTACATTTGGGAAAAAATAATTGCTGAATGTCCTTTGAATCAATGAAGAATCAATAACATTAAAAAGACTCTGTAATTTCTTTTTGTTTTCCTTCTTTGCACAAAATAGTTCTTTATTTAAAAACAAGTCATATTAAATATGTGTGTCTATTTATTGGAGGGAATAATTGGTAAAAAAAAAAAAAGGAGGGGAGAAGTTTGCCTTTTTTTCATTAAGTAGTCCTAAAATTATGAAAGATTTTCTAAGATTCAGCTTCTAGTACAGTTTTGTAACAGCTTCAAGGCAAAAGGTAAGACTAGGCTAATATGCCATGATGGGAGTTTGAAAGAAGTGAGAAATATTGTTCAGTCCTTTAATAAATAATACAATGGCAAATTCCTGTGCGTTATAAATAAAGCAATTTCTGTGTGTTAACCATGTCTTCTTATTGTCTGTATCCTGATGCTTTGATATTAAGGGCCTTGTGAATCTTGGAGCTATGGCCTCTTCCTCCTCTCTGAGTTAGCCAATCCCTGAAGACAGAAATGGACTGCCCCTGGAGCATGTTTTTCAAATACAAATAATCCATTCCAGAGCCCACACCCTCAACAACCTCTTTTATCAGATGCTTACACTATGAGGCCGTTAGCCACCTGCCTTATCACTCCAGGGCGAGGTACCAGACAGCTATTAATAGGAGAGTCCCAATGTCCCGTAACCCACTGAAAGTATTCAAACGAACCAATTCTAAACCTACTTACCCTGTTCCTCTCATTTCTTCCTGTGGAAATCATAATAAAGACTTTCACCCACCTTTCCATCTGCTCTCTCCATGCCACTCCCTTTGCCTCCTGACCAACCCTGGTCTTCCCTATGTGGCCCCTTGTGGCATGGCATGCTCCCCATTCTGGGATCTGTGGTATAACAATCTGTCTTTCCAATGGCAGTCATCATCTTATTTGTTGGCCTTGCCATAGCTAAATAATACCTACATTTTAAAACATCCTACCTTAAGATTTTAATATTGACTATAAGAATTTTCATGACACTTTAGAGTTTATTAAACAAACATCTTATTGAAACTCTACCAGGTCTAAGACTACCCTAGGTTTCATATTGCTTTTCAAAATCGACAGGTCAGCCTTTGCCCTCAAAGGATTTATAATCTGGTTGTGACCATATCTTCAACTGAATAAAAGGGTAACAATTATTTAATATGTAATTATCTCCTCTTTTTATACTTGCTACCTCTTTAAGTGCATTTATGGCTTTGCATTTGCATAAATATAGTCAGGATTTGATTATTTGGCACAAACAAAGGCCATAGAGTAACTTATGTTAATTGAAGGATAATTCAAAAAGTATTTATATTGATAAAATTATAAAACAATTTTTTGGATACAAGATAAATCAGGAATGCAGCACTCAAGCAAATACAGAATTCATTTGACAAATCCAAACTCAGAGAAATTTAATTAAGTTATTAATTAAAATAATGAAAAGAAATTTACTTAAGTTATTAAAGAAATAACTAAAGAAATTTCTTTAAGTTATTAAAGAAAGTTAATAACTTGCTCTGGAGGAATCTTCTTTTCTTTTAATAGAGACAGCATCTCACGCTATCACTCAGGCTAGAGTGCAGTAGAACAATTATAGCTCACTGTGGCCTCAAACTCCTGGTATCAAATGATCCTTCCAGCTCAGCCTTGCGCGTAGTGGGACTCAGGTGTGCAACACCATTCTTGGCCTGAATCTTCCCCTTTTTTGTACATCATTCTTTTGCATATGAATGCAAAAGATGAGCTATTTTAGCTTTATATTCCATATTAGTTTGCTAAGGCTGCCATAACAAGGTACCACAGACAGGGTAGTTTAAGCAGCAGAAATTAATTTCCTCCCAATACTGGAGGTGAGAAATCTGAGATCAAGGTATTTTCAGGGTTGATTCCTTCTGAGAGCTGCAAGGGAAAATCTGTTCCACACCTCTTTCCTTGCCTTGTACATGGCCATCTTCTCTCCGGGTCTTCATATTGTTTTCTCTCTGAGTCTGTGTCCAGATTTCCTCTAGAATCATCCTGGATTAGGGCCTACCTTAACCACCTTGCAATACCTCAATCCATTGGTTTCAAGCTGGGGTTCCCCCAAATCTCTCTTTGGATTTGATTAATTTGCTAAACCATCTAGGAGAACTCAGAGAAGCATGTTTACTGGTTTATTAGAAAGAATATTAGAAAGGATACAGATAAAGACATGCATAGGGTGAGGTATGGGGGAAAGGGTATGAAGCTTCCACACCCTTCCTGGCACACTCCACCCTCCAGGAGCCTCCATGTGTTCAGCTATCCAGAAGCTGTAAGAATCCTGTCCTCTTGGGCCTTTTATGGAGACTTCATTAGAGAGGCATGATTGATAACCATGTAGAAATTTGATTGGACAAGAAGGGCGTGATCTAATACTAATAGACTGACTGGGAAAACCCAGCAAGGCCTGTCCATTCAATGTCTTCTTGATCTCTCTGTGCAGCATTCCTTCATCATAGGTGTGGGGCAGGACCCTTTCTGAAATGGGAGTCTTGTGACCTACAATCAGACAAGGCAGGCTGTAAAATTTCTTTACAGCCAGCTCCCAAGACAGAAAAACAGGGGAAGACTCCAGCCTTGGAAAGAAAAAGAGCAGGTTAAAGGTGGACGGGAGAAGTTTAGAAAGAGACAGATTCTGTTTTCCAAGGCCTGTTTTTAAGGCCTAAAATGCCTCAACATCATAACAAGGGCCATAGAATCATGGATGAAAACCAATAGGCAGATACATAAATATATATATTATAATCTCACACACCTGAATGTAAATTTCCAGTCCATCCCTTACTCCTAGACTTCTAGACTTGTTCAACTTCTTTCAATAGTCTACTAAGCGACTAATATATGTCTCAAACTCAGCATGCTCCAAACTTCCTCTCACCCCAAACCTGCTTCATCCGTAGGTTTCCTCATCTTTTTAAATGCAGTTTCATCTTTCTTAGTTTATTCAGACCAAAAACTTGAGAGTCACGCTTGACTCTTCTTTCTCTCACAATAGCTCACATTCATTTGAATAAAATAAAAACCTTGCAGGCTCCACTTTCAAAATATATCCAAAACTTTAACATTTCTTACACTTCTACTGCTACCACCCTTGAGAGTGTCTGAGCCACTATCATTTCTTACCTAGATTACTTCAAAAGTCCTTTGCTTATTTCCCTGCTTCTGTTCTTGTCTCACAAAAGTCCATTTTTAACATAATGGACAGAGTGATTCTTGTAAAACTTGTCAGATCATGTCACTGCTTTGCTGAGAACCCTGCAATAGTCCCGTCGTTCTCAGAACAGAAGCTATAAAGTCCCTGCAGTGGCCTTCAAGGCACTTCACTTTCTGGCTCCAGGTATCTCTCTGACTGTGGCTCCTGTGTCTCCGCCCCTTGATCACTCTCCTCAGCCGTGTATCAAAACCCCAGTCATAATCCCACTTGGGGACTTTGCAGTAGTTCTCATCTTCCTCAAGCCTTTCCTCTAGGTGACTCCAAGGTTAACCTTTTTCCTTCATTTCATCTTTGTGCACATGTTACTTTCTTAAGGAAAGTGACATGTATCGGGATCTCACCACTAAAATTGCAAACTGGACTCTCCTCCATCTTCAAATACCCCTTAACCTGGTTCTACTTTTCTTTTTTATTTTCCGTTTTTTTGTGTTTTTTTTTTTTTTTTTTTTTTTTTTTTTTTTTTTGAGACGGAGTCTCGCTCTGTCGCCCAGGCTGGACTGCGGACTGCAGTGGCGCAATCTCGGCTCACTGCAAGCTCCGCTTCCCGGGTTCACGCCATTCTCCTGCCTCAGCCTCCCCAGTAGCTGGGACTACAGGCGCCCGCCACCGCGCCCGGCTAATTTTTTGTATTTTTAGTAGAGACGGGGTTTCACCTTGTTAGCCAGGATGGTCTCGATCTCCTGACCTCATGATCCACCCGCCTCGGCCTCCCAAAGTGCTGGGATTACAGGCGTGAGCCACCGCGCCCGGCCTTTTTTTGTGTTTTGTTCATACTACTTATCACCTTCTAGCATACTATAAAATTCACTTTTATTATGCTTATTATTTACTATTTCTCCCACGGGGGAATAAAATAAAACACTTTGGATGTGTTTTTTTTTCCACTCAGGGGAGTGCAAGTTTACAAGAACAGAGATCTTTGTTTTATTCCCCAAAAGAGTATCTTTTGATATTGGTTTTCAGCAAAAATTTGCTGAAGGAATAAAGTGAATGAATCAATCAGTGAGAACTCTCATTGTTATTTGTAGGGGCATATGCAAAGTGTCACTGAAAGCTGTGTGTTTGAGTCTCCCAAGTAAGTCCAGGAAAGATTAGCCTGAAGTCTGATTTAATTATCTTTAATTGTGTTATTATTAGGTGTCTTAGATTGGAAGACAGTCTGAGTGAAAGATGATGCCTTTGACTTCATTTTTGGTGAAGAGTTTAGTCTTTTAAAACTACATGCAATAATATAGTATGATTTTGAGCAAGGGCTCTGGAGCCATTGTTCTTGGGTCAAAAAGAGATCAGTTTCTTACTACTTATGTGAAGGGCAAGTGACTTAAACTTTGCTGTTTCAGATTTCTCAACTATAAAACGCTGAAACTAAGAGTACTTACCCGACATATTACTGTGAAGAAGAAATGAGCAAAGAGCTTAGAACAGAGCTTGGCACATAAGAACTGCTTGATAATGATCAGATGTTAGCATGATTAGTACTTGGAGGGAGGCAGCTTTGTTTCATGAAAAGAACATCACATTGGTTTTAAGACTGAGATCTAAGTCTGTCTTTATTACTAATTAGTTGCATGGAATTGAGCAAGTCATTTAATGACTCTGCTTTTATTAGAAAACAAAAGAGTAATACCATATTACATCTAAGACCTCTTCTTGCTCTAAAAGCCTGTAATCCTCTTATAATGATGATGATTGCATATTTCTTTATAGGGTCATTTATCAAATACATATGTAATTTCTATAGAAAATTTATTCTTAAGATAGAGATAACTAAACTGATGGAATATATCATGTTAATCTTTATTTGATATTAAAATAATTGTTAAGATTACAAGGATAAGATGGAGCTTCAAGAAATACTAATTAATGATAATGACATGTATGTATGGCATCTCATAAATGAACAGTGTACGCTTTTAAATAATATATACAAATACTTATTCTTGCCATTTTGTAGTTAACTTTTCTGAACTGTTTCAAGAAATAGGGTAGTCCTTTGTGTAGTATTCATTTTAATTATATGACAATTATATATAGATGTTGCAAGATCTGGTAAAATCTCATTAAATTGTCATAGTTCAGTCTGACAGATATGTGCTTCTAAACTATAGATGATGGCAAGAGAAATGAGTAACTCATTTTCTACACTTTTTGTAAAGACTGGGCTTCATGATGATAGTCGTGAACGTGCTCTGTTACTTTAAAAAATTGACTATTAGAAGCAAAAGAGTAGCCTAGATAATAAAATTACATTTCAACATTTTCTCTCGGATAAATTCTGGTTATAATCAGTGGACATCTGTTCATTTTTAAACTTTAATGTTTGTTTACTTTGAGTTTGTAGCTTAAGATAAAAATTCCAGACAGTTTAATAACAAAGAGTAAGTTTGTCATTTAAAACAAATGCCTTAATCAAAATTTCCATATAACAAAGTTATTTTCACGCTCTGGTTATTGGCACATTTAATTCAAACACTATTTCATAGAGTAAATTTTCAGGATAAATTGAACTTAATCATGGTGGTTTGGTAATGGAATTCGGTCCTAGATCTCTTTTCTTTTCTTTAGGCTCTGATTTTTTAAAAATCTTGATTGGATGCATTAAAAATCAGAGAATCTGCATGATAATCAAGAGGAACAGCAGAGAACAGTTCTTGGTTAGAAAGAAACTGTACCATAGGTAGAAAAATATGAAGAGATATCTTTGTACTAGGTTATCCTCTCTGAGCATGAATATAGTATTTGTGTAAGGTAAAACTGACTTTTTAAAATGAGGTGCATATGCTGCATGGCACTGGGAAATGGACATCAAACCTGCGTGTCCATCTTGTGCTGAATGTCCTTGCTTAGTAAATTTCATTTTAACCGTAAAAAGAAGCACATATTGGAAGGAAAACTGACTTCCAATAAGCATTTCTCATAAAAATGTTTTTCTATAGTGTGCATTTAGAGAACTTCCAGAAGACACTGATAATCCAGCTGAGAGCTTATGAAAAATATATATATGATAGCTTTTAAATGGTTTTCCAATTACCAGCCTAATTCTATGGTGATTTCAAAACATACCATGAATCAATATTACAGAATAATGTCTTAATGTTTGATTGTTGATACAATATGTATCAAATCATAGATGTTAGTTCTATCTCATTATACAAATATTTTCAAAGACTTCCATTTAGGTTATACAAAGCCCTTAAGTGTGAAAAATGACATACTGCAATTATCTATCTTTTGTTGAAAATTTAACTACAAAATAACAAGAGTAAGTGTTTGTATATGTTATTTAAAAGCTTACATTGTCTGTGAGATGCCATGCACATATGTCATTATCATTGATTAGTATTTCTTGAAGCTCCATATCATCCTGTAGCCTCAACAATTATTTTAACATCAAATAAAGATTAATAATAAATTATAGTAATTTAGTCATCTCTAATTTACCCAGAGAATACATTTCCCATAGAAATTATATATGCATTTGATAAATGACCTGTTAAAGAAATATGCCATCATCATCATTATAAAGGAATTACAGGCTTTTAGACTAAAAAAAGGTGTTAAATGTAATGTGGTATTACTCTTTGGTTTTCAAATAGAAACAATTAATTAAATGACTTTCTCAACCCCGTTGCATCTAATTAGTTCAATTTCCCATTCTTTTTGGTAATACAAATTTGGAAGAAGTCTATACTATTATTTTCTACATTAGTTCAACTTAGAGCCACAATCTATATTCCTCTTTAGTTCAAAAGTCATTTTTCAAAGATGCACTATCTTAGGATTAAATTGTATTCATAGACCCTCATTGAATAAATTATATCCAATTAACTATATTTATTTAACAGTTTATGATTTTTAAATATCATGACTTTTTAAAATCTCTAATTTATTTGCCTTCTACATGTACTAGGTTAGTTTCTGCAAAAATATAAGGGAACTAAGTATTGTGATCTGGCCATAGTGCTGTTCAGAGGCTAGTTGGGAAATTGAGGGTGCTTGCTATATTTTTGAAAGTGTACTCCTTAATATGTGGTTTGATTTTAATTCAACCAACATTTGTTCAGAATATACTATTAGTAAAGCCTTGTATTCACATTTATGTGATATGTAATCATGAAAAAGACATTGACTCTGCCATATACATATTCATAACTTAGAAGAGGAGATAAACATGAAAATCTGGTAAGTCAAGCAACTAAGTTGAGAATATAAGGATAGTAGAGATTAATTCTAGTTGGAATTGAGGAATTGGGAAGAAACCATGTGATAGTAGGATAAAAGCTAAGAGCTTAAATTTGGAGGACATTTTCTAGTAGCTGAAATGGGGAGACATGCAATGTAGTTAGGCCCAAGGTTGGTTTGCATGGGAAGAAATTGGATTTGATTATAATTATTATTATTAGTAGTAGTAGTAGACATCGTCATAGTTGTAGTCATAGTTGTATTTTATGAAGGGTATTTGCATAATTCTATAATTAATTATTGAGATGCATTTTGTGAAAACAAAGAGAATTAAATCATAGCAAAATGGGAAAAATTATCTAACATTCCTCTGCCTTTCCTTTTGGTGTCCTTTGGCTTGGTTTGGTGTCCTGAGACATTTGCCTGTGGTGATCTACCTCCATGGTCACCATGCTGTAGTAATAAGTGTGCAAGTTTGAAAATCAGATGACCTGGCCTGGAGTCCTGACTCTACCCCTCACAAGTGAGTGATGTTGAATAAGTTAGCCTAACACTTACTTGTTACCTCATTATTTTCACATATAAAATCAATAGGAAATTATACTCACCTCAAAGAATAAATTACAATAATGAATGTAGAATTGAATTTTCATCTTAACAACTCTACAGTAGTTGATCAGGAGAGTGCTGTCCCCTATGGCAGTGGTGCTGGCATGATAATGAAGCACTGAGTACTCAAATGTCAAACATCAGTGGTCTTTGCTAGAACATCATCTTCTTAGTGAACATTATAAGACCAGTCTTTTAAAAATTGGAACCGTCTCCCTGTAACCATACCCTATGTCCATTTTTGCTTTATTTTTATCCATGGAACTTATTGCCATCTGTTGTACTAAACATTTTACTTATTCATTTTGTGTCTGTTTTCCCCAACTAGAATGTAAGCTTTATGTGGGAAGGTATTTTTTTTCTAGAGTCATTGCTGTACCAGCAATCCTTAGAAAAATGGTTGCCATTGTTTGAAAAATTTTTATTGAAGAAGTGCATAAATGCGTCTAAGTAAGTCAGCTAATAAAGTCAGATAAATACAGTTCATGCTGACTTATTCACACCTGTTGTAGGAAATGTGTACGCACTTACAGATTATCTGCAGAACCAAAACCTTGACTCAATTATCTAAATGTGGAAACTCCTGATCCTACGCCAGATCGGAGGGGGAGCTAGGTAGTTTTCCTCAGTTATATCTTACAGAAGTCCTGCCAAGATCTCCTGAGATGAGGTACCTTTTTCTCTTTGCTACTCTAACATCTTACTGAATAATGCGTATTATTGTTAGATACTCAATTATAGCTATGACAATTAGTTTAATATATTTTGCACTGAGTTTGAGATACACAGGCACATCAGTTACTTAAAACTAGTTTGAAAACAAATCAAAAGATTTACAGAGATAAAAAGAATTGTGGTGCATGTTCATTGAGAATACAGATGACAGGGATATTTACATATATATTATACACTGGAGTTTTGGAAACAGATACATGAGCTTCACCCCACCCAGCACCCATGACAGAACAGACGACTCTAAAGCAATCAAGTCAAAGATGTAATATTGCCATTTATCATCACAAATCATAAACCAAATATGTCATACAAGTGGAAACTGTTATTTCCTCTGAGTTTTTAATAGGAAGATTTCAGTCAGGAGATAGCTTGTGATTTATGTCGAATAAAATAAAAAATGTCTCCGTTTGTAAAATTTCTGCTGGTCTATTATCTTTTAATTGTTTCAAAAAATAGCTTTATTTTTCTTTCTGGAAATGTGGTTACACTCCCTTGCCTACTGGAACTTCATTATTATGTCCTTGGGGAGCTTCCACTCCTAGTTAAATATCCTAAAATAGAACATTTAAAAAACTTGCATTTAACAACATTGCCAACAGAAATTAACTTTCTGAAAAGGAGTATAGAACTGTGTCACATATGTGCATTCAGAACTTTGGGTTAAATTGCATTTGTAAATATGTGTGTGTGTGTGTGTGTGTGTGTTTGTGTGTGTGTGCTTATATTCTATTTCTGAGAGCAAAATGCTACAAATGGCTACAAATGAACTAAGTGTTCGGCTGATATCTTGGAAAGGCCTTTCTGTGTGATGCACTTTAATTTCACAGTATTTACCAAACATTTAATCTGTGACTGGCATTCTGCATACAGAACAATTCCCCAGCCACAGAATGGCTTCAGTTCAGTAGCGATTCTCTATTCTTGACTGTCTCATTTAGCATGTCTTAATCAGCATATTAAATCAGGCATTGTGTTTTTAAAGACACTATTCTATTTAATATTTGTAACAGTCCTGTGGGGATTTTTATATCCATCTTAGTGCTGAGGAAACAATGTCAGCGGTGTTCAATATTTAAATGAAATTCTCACAGCTGTAAATGGCACAAACAGAACTCAAACCCAGGCATTCTTACTTACTCCCCTACACCACAGCCCCCTTCATTAACGGCTTGATATTCTTCTTTGCATTTAATGTATTATAAAGTATTTGTTTGCCACTGGATAAACAGATTGATTTAATTCCCCATTAGAAAGTCCTTGACTCATTTAATGGTCTGTCAGTATGCCCGATCCATAGAGTTGGCTGTTGAGATTTATTCTCAAAATTTGTTGTCTTCTAACTGTGAAACTAGACCAGTCCAATAAAACCAAAACAAATTTCATGATGGAGTCTTCATCTTTCTTCATTCATTCACATTCACTGGAGAAGCAATAAAATAACTGTGGACTATATCCTGGCACTGTGTGATGTCCTGCATATATTCAGTAGCTGCAACATTGTTATTTAATAATGATCTTGTATTTTTTGATATTCATTAGGCTTCATAATGCCTTTAATTATTGGACATTATTTTCCTCTTTTTACAGGTGAGAAAATTATTGAGGCTTAGAGATATCAAGGTAGTCATAAGGTCATACGGGTAGCAATGGAGAAATAAGGACAAAAGCCTAGACTTTCTGCATCCAAATCCTGAATTCTTTGCACTACACCAACTCCTCTGTTTCTGACTTAAATGAAGTACATTATACTTTTCCAATATACGGTGTAAATTTAAGAAGTACATGGTCGCTCCATAAATGCTATCCAGCATTGATTTGAGAATTATCTAGCATGTGTTCCTTTCAAATGTTGTGCCATGAAAGATGTTATTACCAGTGAAGCAAAAGTTATCATAGATTTTAGAAGTGAGAAGCCAGGTCTTGGGCAAAACTTTAGAAAAAAAGTCCAACAATTTTTCACAAAATTATCCAAAGACAAGATTATTGCTTGAAGTGAATTATTATCAACTATTTCATTCTTTCAATATTCAATGTGTATGTAACATTGTTGTAAACAGAAGACTGCTTGGGTTTCAGCCCTAGGTTTATCACTAACCCAATGACCTTGGCCAATAATCTTGTCTGAGCTTCTAGTTTTCTTTAATCTGTAAAATGAGGATAATGAAAATACCTGTCTTATTGTTGATGTGTCTAATCATATCACTTAATGAGTTACTATGCATCAAATACTTAGAACAGTTCTTGTTTCCTGTAGTAAGCCCTATATAAGCACTTGCTATTATTATATTTGAATAATACAATAATTATTATTAATACTATGTAGAATGCAATTTGTGAATATAACAATGAATAAGCAGTAGTCCCTATACTCTATATATTTACAGGCTAGCTAAGGAGGTAAGCTATGTGTCAGAGAAGACTACAGGAAGGATATAGGATTCAAACTGAATATGAGTACTGAGAACATTAAGGGAACCTGTGAAAGTATTGATCCTAAAGGAGGTCATTTCTGCTAACAGACATATATATTCCTAGGTAAGCCTCTTTATTCAAGTGCAAATTGGGCATTGGCAATTAGCCTTGAAGCAATGAATTGCCTTTGAAAATCTGCAAAAGAAATATAAAGTCCCAGGATAACCTAGTTCTTCGGACAGAGTTTAGATTGGGTGACTATGGACAACCTGAAGGATAAGCAGAAGTTGGCCTTGAAGAAAGGTCTGCATGGGAAAAATATTCCAGGTGGAAGCAGCAGCGTATGCAAAGGCCTGAGGTGAAAACAAGTTCGGTGAAGTTGGAGCTTAGTAAACAGGACGGGGGAGAGGCAGGAGAGGAGAACAGAGGCAGGCCTGAGATCATGTAGGGGCTTGTATGTCTCTGCAAGAAGTTTGGGTATGCTCTAAATGTAATGGAAAGATATTAAAGAGTTTTAAGCAAACAAGTGGCTTGATGTTGTGTAGCATAGATTTGGGGGTGTTGTAGGGAAAAGATCGATAAGGAGACTAATTCATCAGTCCAGGGATGGAAAATGTGAATAGATTTATGAATTATTTTTGTAGTAGGAATGGCAGAACCTATTGATGGTTTAGATTGGAGATGGGACGTGAAGGACACACAGGGATTAGAGAAACTCCTAGGTTTTTCCCAAGTTTTTCCTTTGCTGTACCTCCTAAGTGGAAAATTCATTCCATTTGAAATTCAGTTTACTTTTTAATAATTATAAATATAATATTTAATAATTTTAAAGGTAATTTTTAAAAGTTCCTCATAATTACTAGTGTTTTATTATTAATACTCACTTTTAGTCTTTACCCAAACTGTGAACATAGTAACACATTGAGTTTTTCCTCTTTTTGTCTAATAATAGGTCATAAGTGCTCTTAAATTATTTGCATCCGTATAATTTTATAATTTGTTGACTGTCTGCATCTGTATTCCTTCAAGGCCATATATTTAATTAAATTAATGATTTCCTCTTATTAGATATGTCATTAAGATTAATGAAAAAGTATCATTTTCTAAAGTGAGTGATTTTATTTAAATGGTTTTTATCTTTCAGAATTAGATAAAATAAGAACAGATGGGCTTAGAAGTATA
Source organism: Homo sapiens (assembly GCF_000001405.40). Lineage (NCBI taxonomy): Eukaryota > Metazoa > Chordata > Mammalia > Primates > Hominidae > Homo > Homo sapiens. Next base: position 85,651,926 of record NC_000004.12, read on the forward strand.
AAAATTATTCAAAAATTTTTGATAGCGAACAATTTAAAGTCTTTCTCAGAAAATTCATTTCTTAGCACAGCTTATATTTTGATAATTTTAAAATAGTGATGAAAATGGTCTATTGTTTTGTTTGCCTACTTCAACACACATATTTTAGTGTTATAGCAAAGCAAGACTTTATGCTGCATGCTTACAATACAAAATATTGATGCCAAATATTCATATTAGAGATTTTTAAAGTTCTCTACATTTATTTCACATTTAATAATAAGATAATGGGTGATCAGATGATTTTGACTTCTTTATTTTGTGATACCACTAGTGAAATGTCACTTCAGCAAAAGTGATAATGATTTTCATAAAGAATATGTTAGTGATTAGGAATATTTCTACTACCGTATTGTCTCACAATATTACTTTACTGACTCCGTCTATGAAATGGAGTATAATTCAGAAGATGAAATTCTCTTTGTTAACGAAATTTCCATGAGAAGTCAATCCATCATTAGAGTATAAGTTAGGGCTTTCAAGATAATTAAGATTAGCATTGACAGTTTATGTGTGACTTGTGCCTAGAGTTTTGACCCAGACAAACATTTTTAAAAGGTTAGCAAAATTGACTTGTTCTCATATCTGCAGTATTTAATAATGAAAATGGAGAAATTTTAAGCTTTGTATTAAGAAGTGCCTGAATCATTCTAGAGCCAGTTCTTATAGACATGAGAGATAATTTTCCTTTCCTCTAATCAATGATATAATACAAGTAAAAGAGAAGAGTGGAAATAGGATGCACAAATTTTTGAGGGATGCAGAAACTGTGGATTAGGGGGTGGCAAGTTGGGGTGGTATGTGGTGTGCTTCCATGGCAGAGGCAATTGTTACACTAGCAGCCAGTCTGTCTAGGCTGGTTGGGTAAAGAAGAAACTTTCCAAAATCCAAATATTTATGTGATTATTGTGACAAAAGATTTTCTGAGTTTTTTGTTTGTTTGTTTTAGAGTTGGGCATAATGGTTTTCTTTCTTGCTACTTTTTGTTTCAGTGTTGACTTTCCTTGAATTTGTATTTTTCTTCAATATGTTAAGAACTCTTGAGGCATATTAATATGTATTAGTAAATGTATGTTAATAAAATGCTTTCTTTTCTTAGAAAATTCATATTGATGAACCTAGACTTTCAAGACATGGCTAAATTATGTCCAAAACAAGGTACAGTCAGATACAATTTTAAACCATAAATGATAATATACAATGAAAAATAACTATGATCTTGGGGATCTTCTATTACACAAAAACTGAATAAAACCAGAATATATCATTGTTCTAGCTGGCGAGGTTATTTTATATTTTCTGAATATGAGTAATGTTAGAGTCATTGGAAAACTTTCCAGATTAATTTCTGGTAATTTGGTAAAAGGGCCTAAAGAAGTCTTCATTGTATTATGTAGTAGAGAAAAAGCGAACCATGATGAAAATAGCATAAGTAAATTGCAGATGCTCTAGATTTGCACTGTCCAGTATATCATTTACCAAATGTGATTATTTTAATGTAAATTATTTAATTAATTTATTTATTTTGAGGAGGAGGCTCACTTTGTCACCCAGGCTGGAGTGCAGTGTAGCGATCTCAGCTGTCTGCAATCTCTGCCTCCCAGATTCAAGCGGTTCTCCTTTCTCAGCCTCCTGAGTAGCTGGGATTACAGGTGCCTGTCACTATCCCCACCTAATTTTTGTATTTTGTTTTTGTTTTTAGCAGCGAGGGGGTTTCACCATGTTGGCCAGGCTGGCCTCCAACTCCTTACCTCAAGTGATCCACCCACCTCAGCCTCCCAAAGTGCTGGAATTACAATTATAAATTAATTTAAATTAAGAATTCAGTTCTCCAGTTACACTAGCCACATTTCAGATGCTCAATATGTTGAATAGCCACATGTGCCCAGTGACTAATATACTGGGCAGCACAAATTAAAGAATATTTCCATCATGGAAGAATGTTCTATTGAACTCTGCTGCTCTAAATATACCATGTACTACATGGCCTCTGATTCCTTATATTATTAATAATTATTATTATAATTATAATAGAGGTAGATGTAGCATTTTTGGTACTAGAGTATGTATTACAAAAATACACTAGTCATTTAAACACATTGTATTAGTCTCCTATAACTGCCATTACAAAATGCTACAGGCTGGGTGGTTTAAGCAACAGAAATTTATTTCTCATAGTTCTGGATGCTGGAAGTTGAAAATCAAGGTGCTGGCAGAGTTGGGTTCCCCTGAGGCCTCTTTCCTTGGCTTGCAGATGGCTGCCTTCTCACTGTGTCCTCACCTGGCCTTTCCTCTGTGTGTACAGCCTGGCATCTCTCTCTTCTCTGAGGACCCAGTCCATTTGGATTTGGGTCCTACCCTTATGACTCTATGCAACCTTAAATACCTCCTTAAAGGTTCTATCTCCAAATATAGTCACATTGGGAGTTAAGGTTTCAACATGAATTTTGGGGGCAAACTTTAGTTCATAACACATACTTTTTATGAGTAGTCAGAAGAATCCTACAATGTAGGTTTTATACCCTATTTTACATATGAGAAATCCATGACCCCAATGAAAAGGTCAGTAGTTGTTAGAGATGAGATTCAAACCCAGGCCTCTCTCATGCTGCATACCATTACCTTTCTTATACACATACTTCTAATATACATGGATGCATGAATAAAAAAATATATTTTAATCTACATTTTGAAATTGAAAATCTGAGACTATTTATGTAACTGATAGAAGCCTGTATCCTACAGAACGGGAGTGGGATTGGGAAGCAATTGGCTACAGCTCCTTATCCTAGCTACTAACATTTTTACAAGTGAATATTGTTATATAGTCAGATTTATAACATTCATATTATATAACATGATATAAATGTGTACATGTGTATGTGTGTACTTTGTATGCTTCTTAGAAATAGTACTGGCAGACACAAGTTTTGGATATTAGAAAAATTTACATACACTATAACTCTTACAAAGTAAGTAGTGATTAAATTGAATATATACAGAATTAGCTACAGTTTTATAAGATATTCTGTTTTTAATTCTTTTCCTCCCTTATATTGGCATAAAAGAGTTTGTAAATTAAAATTCCTTAGAATATTTTTTGTATTTTAGATGTTTTTCACTAATGATGAAATATAGCTTATAGCTCTTTTTAGGCTTATTTGGGTATCTAATGTTTTTTGCTACAGCACAGTATTCCAACTGGATTACTTAGTCATGTTGCAAGAGCTAATTACATTTGGGAGCATAGGGTGATAAATGCCCTTAAAATTACATAATTGTTTTCCATGATATTTATCAGATACTCTGGAATCTGATAAACATTTAACTAGATGTATTATGCAATCATATTAATTTAGTACTATTATTGAACAATGTTCTTTAGGGACTTGCTACTGAAAAACAATTTTATACAAAAAGAGCTGAATAGGAATTTTAATTCTTATTCATTTAATATTTGGTTTAATAACTGCCAGAGAAAATACTTATGTAAAACTCTCAATCATGGACATCAAAGCTTTAAAATGAAAGTTTGGGGCCAGGCACGGTGGCCATGCCTGTAACCCCGGCACTTTGGGAAGCCAAGGCAGGTGGATCACTTGAGGCCAGGAGTTCGAGACCAGACTGGCCAACATGGTGAAACTCTGTCTCTACTAAAAATACAAAAATTAGCCAGTGTGATGGCACGTGCCTGCTACTCAGAAGGCTGAGGTGGGAGAATGGCTTGAACCCGGAATGCGGAGGTTGCAGTGAGCCGAGTTTGCACTACTACACTCCAGCCTGGGTGACAGAGTGAGACTCCATATATATATATATATATATATATATAGAGAGAGAGAGAGAGAGAGAGAGAAAGAGAGAGAGAGAGAGAGAGAGAGAGACAGAGAGGAAGTTTGGTTAGACTGTGCCTTGAAAGAGTAAGTATACTGTACACGTGAATAAAATATGTAAAGTTCTCTATGAGAATAAAATAAAGCAGTTTTATTCAGCAACTGATAAGTCACCTTTTTATTGGGTTGCTTCCAGTAGAATTAATATGCTATTTCCTTAACTGGCAAATAAATTAAACTTGCAAATTTCAATTTTAAAATTTGCCTACAGCTATTGCAACTTGCATGGCCACTTATAATCCTATATTCTTGGATCAAAGTATATTTTGTAAATTATTTACTTTTAGTAACAGAAGGTGGTAACCATAACACAGAACTATTTAATTTTCTTTAGAGACAATTCTGAAATGTATTTAAAAACACTGGCTTCTATAAAATGAAAAGATAAAACAATTTGTGGAACCACTGAATTTGAAATTAAAATTTGACAATGTAAATGACATTTTATGAAAGTGAGATTCGTATTTTACCAACATTAAGCTGAAACATTTCAGCTTAAAAGTATTTTGACACATGTAAGAGCAGAAAGATAAAGTAATATAATTTTAATTCTAATATGATAGGACTTTAGAATCAATTAGTGTATCTTATATGAGTGATTTAATAAAGCTTTGTTTGTTTGTTTGTGTTTTGAGACAGAGTCTCGCTCTGTCACCAGACTGGAGTGCAGTGGCGTGATCTTGGCTTACTGCAAACTTCGCCTCCTGAGTTCAAGCGATTCTCCTGCCTCAGTCTCCCAAGTAGCTGGGATTACAAGCGTGTGGCACCATGACCAGCTAATTTTTGTATTTTTAGTAGAGACAGGGTTTTACCATGTTGGCCAGGATGGTCTCGATCTCCTGACCTCGTGATCCACCCGCCTCAGCCTCCCAAAGTGCTGGGATTACAGGTGTGAGCCACCACGCCTGGCCAATAAAGCTTATTTTTAAGTAATCAGCTTTAAAAAAAAAATACAAGCATGATAATAATGATTTTTGGCCATATTTAACCATGGCTATCATATGGGTCACACTGTAGTGGCTTTACTAACAGTGTTGTTTAACTTCGCTCCTTTCAGAGTTCCTTGAAACTATTCTTGGCTGGAGTGTAAGCTGCTTTAAAAAAAATGTTTACAGCAAATTATGTAGAATAGTGAAAAATAGAGTCAAAATTAAAAAGTAAATAAATTATAAAAATGTAACATTGCAATGGTGTTTTGGAACAATTTTCTATTGACTGAAACAAGGAAATAATTTTTGTCTCGTTTTTATTTTATTCTCATTGTTTTCAGACATAAGAATTGATGGATTTTGTTTTCTCCTTAGCCTTATTTTATTTTTTCTGGGCTATAAATTTCTTCATCTCCCCAAGCCTTAACTTTTGTGGCTGTACAATTGGGAGAAGAATTTCTTGGAACTTATTAGAATTGTGTTTTAATAATGTGCTATCTGCCAAACACACTGAAACCTTTGGATGAAAGTTAATGTATTCTGAATGGTCTACTTTGTTCTTCCCTTTTAGTTTCATAACTAAAGTTTGAACCTTTAGTTTCATAACTTAAAGTTTCATAACTTTAAGAAGGATTTTTTTTCAAATACAAGAGAAAAATTTTCTTCCTCTTTTAACCTGTCTCAGAACTTGTGAGCTGAAATTAACAGAAAATCTTTAATATCTAGCCAGCAATGACACTTGACTGTGTTTCTAAAGGAATAGAGAGGGAAAATGGTCAAAACAGAGTAGTTTCTAGAAAACTTCGTGTCAGCTTGCTCTCCCATGGAGACAGGGTATTAGGCAAATTAATAACTTTATCCTCCAGGCACTTTTGCAAGGGAATAACATTTTCATTTGTTTGGCAAAATGCAAACATTGCCGGGGTAGATGATAACTACAAAATAAAAATTTTATGAAATGCCACAACTCCAATTATTGTTATTATTTTGAGACAGGGTCTCATTCTGTCAGCCAGGCTGGAGTGCAGCGGCACTATCTCAGCTCACTGCAAACTCTGCCTCCCGGGTTCAAGTGATTCTTTCACCTCAGCCTCCCGAATAGCTGGGGCCACAGGTGCGTGCCACCATGCCTAGCTAATTTTTGTATTTTTAGTGGAGATGAAGTTTTGCCATGTTGGCCAGGCTGGTCTCAAATTCCTGGCCTCAAGTGATCTGCCCCCCTCGGCTTCCCAAGATGCTGGGATTACAGGAGTCAGCCATTGTGCCCGGCCTCCAGTTATTTAATTATTCTTCATTTACAATTGCATTCTCATTGGTCAATTTGTTAAGACCTTTTTTTCAGTCTGACAAAAGAAGGAACAAACTCTTTTTCTCTCCATTAATGTTGAATAAAGTATCTATAAACTACATTTTCAATAATTAGAAGAGCTAAAATCATCACATTTGGGACCCTGGGATCTGCCTTCCCACTTCATTTTTTCTCTGTAATCAATGCAAAATTATTCAATTTAAAGGAATATGTAGCGGATCATTTTTGGAAATTTATTACTTTAGACCCTGAGACAAACCTTTTTTCATAAAAACCAATTAAAAGAGCTTCTCAGAATTTTTTTTAACCTTTTGCTTAAAAAATTGCTCTAGTAAAAAGTGCTATTTTTAACCTGTTGTTTGTGGTACAAAGTAGAAATATTTTCATAAATATTATTTGATCTCCAGCTTCTTATACTGAAATTCTGCTCTGACTGTAGGATCAAGTACACAGTAAGCACTCAATAAATACTTGCTTTGCTTTGATCATCTGAATGTAAAAGTATCTTTTATGTGGGGCTGAATTAGGTCTAGCCAACATTTAGACTAATTTTACCACGACTGTCTTCATAGTAATATTAGCGTGTTTTCACACAGTATAGTCATGAATATGGACCATGGGGAATCACTCAAGCCATTTTTTCTCACTTTTAGAGTAGTTTATAATGTGTTGATAGTATGTCTGGCTGGTTTGTTGGGAATAGGATGTACATGGCCAAATGTGGAAGCAAGGAGACAGGATAGGGGTCCTTGGAGTAATCCAGAATTTGAATCAAGCAGCTTGGGTCAAGGTGAGAGCAGCAGAGGTATAAGAAGTTCTTGTATTTTCAGTCTGTTCTGAAGCAGAGCTGATAGGATTTGCTGAGAGATTTATGTGGGATGTGACAGAGAGAGAGCCAAGTCCGTAGTAACTCTGAGACAGTGCCTCTTAACTGAAGGTGATTTTTCTCTCCCAGGAATATTTGACAACGTCTGGAGACAGTGTCTGGCTTGTCACAGTTGGGGAAGATACCACAGATATCTCGTGGGTAGAAGCCGGGGTGCAGTTAAATATCCTATGAAGCATATAATGCTGTTCTCTACAACAAAGAATTGTCTGACGTTGCTGAAGTTAAGAAACTCTGGACCAAGGTTTTTGGCCTGAACAGAGGAAAGAATGATGCTACCAGTAACAGAATGAGGGCGCTGCTAGTGCAGTATAGTTTGCAAAAAGGAAACCAGAGTTCTGTCTTTTTGAAGTGCCTATCAGATTTTCAAGGCCAATGTCAAATATTACAATATCATAAAGTAAAAATAAGATTAAAGTTTATCTGTTGTTAAATTAATGTTTAAATAATTCCTTTAGAAATTAAATTTCTATAAAATGGAAATTGTGTCTCAAAATATTCCTGTGTTATCTACAAGGCCTAACATAGCTTCTGGTATTTCAACATATATAAAAAAGTATGAATATAGCGGCCATATTAATGTTCTCCTCCCTAGTTCTATTACACTATTTGGAATGATATAATTTTAGTCTTAGAAATAGAAAATTATCTCCCTTCATTTTGATGAACACATTATATAATTAAAGTACACATAAGGGTTGTAATTACTATGTTTCCTAATATATTATAGTTCTTTCATCTCCTCAGTCTGCTTTTTGTGAAGAGGACTTTTTCAGGGTAGAAGAATGACTCAGTAATGAGAAAAAGGGGAAATTATGTTAAGTCTTTCTTCTTTTCATTCCTCCCCTATTCTGGATCCAGGGGTAGTACCACACACTTCCCCAAGCAGCATTTCTGATAACTTAGAATATCCTTATGAAGCCATCTCTAAAAAAATAATAGGTTTCTTTCCATTCGTTCTCTGAAATAGCCTCCTTTAAGTCTAGAGTGCCTGCAGCTGAACAAGCAGCTACCAGTGCAGTAGGACTTGTTGCTAGGGGGAGTTGCCCTTATCACTTCTCATCTAAACTCGGTGGGTTATGTGGAAAAAACGGCATGTGCTTAACTTCAGATTTTAAAGTCTTTTAACTTTGCAGTTGAGTGCCTTCAATTGAATTTCTTAATTAACTTTTAAGTTATGACTGTCTCTTATTCCCTCCTTACCTATATTGAAGGAGCCAATCAGTAAATACCTAAGTCCTGCCTGCCCGCCGTGAAGCAAGGAAAATGTACTTGCTAATGATTGAATTAATTCTCACACTTTAGTTAATATTGACCAATATTTCTTGGATTTTATTTCCAAAATGACTTTCTTTTTTTCTTGAAATACTGTTTTAAAAGTAGCTTTAAAATGTATCCTCCATGTAAGTATAACAAAACAGAGTGATTTATTCACAGCTACTTGTTTCAATAATGCAGATGTTCAGGGCTACAGTACTCAAATAGTGAGACTCAGGGAAGGGAGAGGAATTGGCTGAATTAATTTAAAAGAAAATCTGGCCGAGCACTGTGGATCACACCTGTAATCCCAGCACTTTGGGAGGCTGAGGCAGGTGGATCACGAGGTCAGGAGTTTGAGACCATCCTGGACAACATGGTGAAAGCCCATCTCTACTAAAAATGCAGAAATTAGCTGGGCATGGTGGCACATGCCTGTAATCCCAGCTACTCAGGAGGCTGAGGCAGGAGAATCCCTTGACCCAGGGAGTAGGAGGTTGCAGTGAGCTGAGATCGCGCCACAGCACTCTAGCCTGGTGACAGAGAGAGACTCCGTCTCAAAAAAAAAAAAAAAAAAAAAAATCTGTAGATGGGGATTGTTTAGAGAGCTGCTGGTAGACATAACCTTTCATTATTTTTAGAGTTTCAATTTGTAGCCGATTTGGTATTTTGAGACTTTCAGTTCATCTTCACTTACACCACTTTCATTAAAACTTCAGAAACAGAAATAGCCACAGGCAAACACTTTGAAGCATGCATCTTCCTTTTCTTATTTCTTACTAAGATATCTAAATTCAGACATTTGACCAGTAACATTGCAAAGATGATTCATATGTGTTACAAACTTAGAAAAGTCATTAGGAACATACTCAGATTTTGCTGTAAACATGTTTTGTTATAAAAGTGATGTGGGTGATTTTGCTTCTGCAGTTGAATGCAGTGAGTGGTTACTGTCAGAAACACAAAATACAGATTGTGACTGGTTAACAATCAGCCGATAAAAAAAGTAGCTTAGTTAACTGAAATTACATTAATTGGAGAATGAATCTAAGAAACCATAGAAGGAGCAGGACAACCCAATTTCCAGCATTATTCTGGTTTATCTTTTTCTCTGAGTGGTGAAAACAAAATACGTCGTAGGCTCAAATCTATTACAGTTTGTTTATTGTCAAGTCTTCATATGGTCCTCCATTATTTTGTTATTCTAGGCTTGCAAATTTTCAAAAACAATAAGGTATGTGAAAGTTTTATTTAAGTTAACAAATGTATAGCTTCTGCCTAACTTTTTTTTTTAATTATACTTTAAGTTTTAGGGTACATGTGCACATTGTGCAGGTTAGTTACATATGTATACATGTGCCATGCTGGTGTGCTGCACCCATTAACTGGTCATTTAGCATTAGGTATATCTCCTAATGCTATCCCTCCCCCCTTCCCCCACCCCACAACAGTCCCCAGAGTGTGATGTTCCCCTTCCTGTGTCCATGTGTTCTCATTGTTGAATTCCCACCTATGAGTGAGAGCATGCGGTGTTTGGTTTTTTGTCCTTGTGATAGTTTACTGAGAATGATGATTTCCAATTTCATCCATGTCCCTACAAAGGACATGAACTCATCATTTTTTATGGCTGCATAGAATTCCATGGTGTATATGTGCCACATTTTCTTAATCCAGTCTATCCTTATTGGACATTTGGGTTGGTTCCAAGTCTTTGCTATTGTGAATAGTGCAGCAGTAAACATACGTGTGCATGTGTCTTTATAGCAGCATGATTTGTAGTCCTTTGGGTATATACCCAGTAATGGGTTGGTTGGTCAAGTGGTATTTCTACTTCTAGATCCCTGAGGAATCGCCACACTGACTTCCACAAGGGTTGAACTAGTTTACAGTCCCACCAACAGTGTAAAAGTGTTCCTATTTCTCCACATCCTCTCCAGCACCTGTTGTTTCCTGACTTTCTAATGATTGCCATTCTAACTGGTGTGAGATGGTATTTCATTGTGGTTTTGATTTGCATTTCTCTGATGGCCAGTGATGGTGAGCATTTTTTCATGTGTTTTTTGGCTGCATAAATGTCTTCTTTTGAGAAGTGTCTGTTGATATCCTTCACCCACTTTTTGATGGGGTTGTTTGTTTTTTTATTGTAAATTTGTTTGAGTTCATTGTAGATTTTGGATATTATCCCTTTGTCAGATGAGTTCGTTGCGAAAATTTTCTCCCATTTTGTAGGTTGCCTTTTCACTCTGATGGTAGTTTCTTTTGCTGTGCAGAAGCTCTTTAGTTTAATTAGATCCCATTTGTCAATTTTGTCTTTTTTTGCCATTGCTTTTGGTGTTTTAGACATGAAGTCCTTGCCCATGCCTATGTCCTGAATGGTATTGCCTAGGTTTTCTTCTAGGGTTTTTATGGTTTTAGGTCTAACGTTTAAGTCTTTAATCCATCTTGAATTAATTTTTGTATAAGGTGTAAGGAAGGGATCCAGTTTCAGCTTTCTACATATGGCCAGCCAGTTTTCCCAGCACCATTTATTAAACAGGGAATCCTCTCCCCATTGCTTGTTTTTCTCAGGTTTGTCAAAGATCAGATAGTTGTAGATATGCGGCGTTATTTCTGAGGGCTCTGTTCTCTTCCATTGACCTATACCTCTGTTTAGGTACCAGTACCATGCTGTTTTGGTTACTGTAGCTTTGTAGTATAGTTTGAAGTCAGGTAGCGTGATGCCTCCAGCTTTGTTCTTTTGGCTTAGGATTGACTTGGTGATGCGGGCTCTTTTTTGGTTCCATATGAACTTTAAAGTAGTTTTTTCCAATTCTCTAAAGAAAGTCATTGGTAGCTTGATGGGGATGGCATTGAATCTATAAATTACCTCGGGCAGTGTGGCCATTTTCACGATATTGATTCTTCCTACCCATGAGCATGGAATGTTCTTCCATTTGTTTGTATCCTCTTTTATTTCATTGAGCAGTGGTTTGTAGTTCTCCTTGAAGAGGTCCTTCACGTCCCTTGTAAGTTGGACTCCTAGGTATTTTATTCTCTTTGAAGCAATTGTGAATGGGAGTTCACTCATGATTTGGCTCTCTGTTTGTTTGTTATTGGTGTATAAGAATGCTTGTGATTTTTGTACATTGATTTTGTATCCTGAGACTTTGCTGAAGTTGCTTATCAGCTTAAGGAGATTGTGGGCTGAGACAATGGGGTTTCCTAGATATACAATCATGTCATCTGCAAACAGGGACAATTTGACTTCCTCATTTCCTAATTGAATACCCTTGATTTCCTTCTCCTGCCTAATTGCCCTGGCCAGAACTTCCAACACTATGTTGAATAGGAGTGGTGAGAGAGGGCATCCCTGTCTTGTGCCAGTTTTCAAAGGGAATGCTTCCAGTTTTTGCCCATTCAGTATGATATTGGCTGTGGGTTTGTCATAGATAGCTCTTATTATTTTGAGATATGTCCCATCAATATCTAATTTATTGAGAGTTTTTAGCATGAAGGGTTGTTGAATTTTGTCAAAGGCTTTTTCTGCATCTATTGAGATACTCATGTGGTTTTTGTCTTTGGTTCTGTTTATATGCTGGATTACATTTATTGATTTGTGTATATTGAACCAGCCTTGCATCCCAGGGATGAAGCCCACTTGATCATGGTGGATAAGCTTTTTGATGTGCTGCTGGATTCAGTTTGCCAGTATTTTATTGAGGATTTTTGTATCAATGTTCATCAAGGATATTGGTCTAAAATTCTCTTTTTTGATTTTGTCTCTGCCCAGGTTTGGTATCAGGATGATGCTGGCCTCATAAAATGAGTTAGGGAGGATTCCCTATTGATTGGAATAGTTTCAGAAGGAATGGTACCAGTTCCTCCTTGTACCTCTGGTAGAATTCGGCTGTGAATCCATCTGGTCCTGGACTCTTTTTTGTTGGTAAGCTATTGATTATTGCCACAATTTCAGAGCCTGTTATTGGTCTATTCAGAGATTCAACTTCTTCCTGGTTTAGTCTTGGGAGAGTGTATGTGTCGAGGAATTTATCCATTTCTTCTGGATTTTCTAGTTTATTTGCGTAGAGGTGTTTGTAGTATTCTCTGATGATAGTTTGTATTTCTTTGGGATTGGTGGTGATATCCCCTTTATCATTTTTCATTGTGTCTATTTGATTCTTCTCTCTTTTCTTCTGTATTAGTCTTGCTAGCAGTCTATCAATTTTGTTGATCCTTTCAAAAAACCAGCCCCTGGATTCATTAATTTTTTGAAGGGTTTTTTTGTGTCTCTATTTCCTTCAGTTCTGCTCTGATTTTAGTTATTTCTTGCCTTCTGCTAGCTTTTGAATGTGTTTGCTCTTGCTTTTCTAGTTCTTTTAATTGTGATGTTAGGGTGTCAATTTTGGATCTTTCCTGCTTTCTCTTGTGGGCATTTAGTGCTATAAATTTCCCTCTACACACTGCTTTGAATGCGTCCCAGAGATTCTGGTATGTTGTGTCTTTGTTCTCGTTGGTTTCAAAGAACATCTTTATTTCTGCCTTCATTTCGTTATGTACCCAGTAGTCATTCAGGAGCAGGTTGTTCAGTTTCCACGTAGCTGAGCAGTTTTGAGTGAGTTTCTTAATCCTGAGTTCTAGTTTGATTGCACTGTGGTCTGAGAGACAGTTTGTTATAATTTCTGATCTTTTACATTTGCTGAGGAGAGCTTTGCTTCCAACTATGTGGTCAATTTTGGAATAGGTGTGGTATGGTGCTGAAAAAAAACATATATTCTATTGATTTGGGTTGGAGAGTTCTGTCGATGTCTATTAGGTCCCCTTGGTGCAGAGCTGAGTTCAATTCCTGGATATCCTTGTTAACTTTCTGTCTCGTTTTTCTGTCTAATGTTGACAGTGGGGTGTTAAAGTCTCCCATTATTATTGTGTGGGAGTCTAAGTTTCTTTGTAGGTCACTAAGGACTTGCTTTATGAATCTGAGTGCTCCTGTATTGGGTGCATATATATTTAGGATAGTTAGCTCTTCTTGTTGAATTGATCCCTTTACCATTATGTAATGGCCTTCTTTGTCTCTTTTGATCTTTGTTGGTTTAAAGTCTGTTTTATCAGAGACTAGGATTGCAACCCCTGCCTTTTTTTGTTTTCCATCTGCTTGGTAGATCTTCCTCCATCCTTTTATTTTCAGCCTATGTGTGTCTCTGCACGTGAGATGGGTATCCTGAATACAGCACACTGATGGGTCTTGACTCCTTATCCAATTTGCCAGTCTGTGTCTTTTAATTGGAGCATTTAGTCCATTTACATTTAAAGTTAATATTGTGATGTGTGAATTTGATCCTGTCATTATGATGTTAGCTGGTTATTTTGCTCGTTAGTTGATGCAGTTTCTTCCTAGCCTCGATGGTCTTTACAATTTGGCTTGATTTTGCAGCGGCTGGTACCGGTTTTTCCTTTCCATGTTTAGTGCTTCCTTCAGGAGCTCTTTTAGGGCAGGCCTGGTGGTGACAAAAATCTCTCAGCATTTGCTTGTCTGTAAAGGATTTTATTTCTCCTTCACTTATGAAGCTTAGTTTGGCTGGATATGAAATTCTGGGTTGAAAATTCTTTTCTTTAAGAATGTTGAATATTGGCCCCCACTCTCTTCTGGCTTGTAGGGTTTCTGCCAAGAGATCTGCTGTTAGTCTGATGGGCTTCCCTTTGTGGGTAACCTGACCTTTCTCTCTGGCTGCCCTTAACATTTTTTCCTTCATTTCAACTTTGGTGAATCTGACAATTATGTGTCTTGAAGTTTCACTTCTTGAGGAGTATCTTTGTGGCCTTCTCTGTATTTCCTGAATCTGAATTTTGGCCTGCCTTGCTAGATTGGGGAAGTTCTCCTGGATAATATCCTGCAGAGTGTTTTCCAACTTGGTTCCATTCTGCCCATCACTTTCAAGTACACCAATCAGATGTAGATTTGGTCTTTTCACATAGTCCTGTATTTCTTGGAGGCTTTGTTCGTTTGTTTTTATTCTTTTTTCTCTAAACTTCCCTTCTCGCTTCATTTCATTCATTTCATCTTCCATCACTGATACCCTTTCTTCCAGTTGATCGCATCGGCTCCTGAGGCTTCTGCATTCTTCACGTAGTTCTCAAGCTCCTGTAAGCACTTCTCTGTATTGGTTATTCTAGTTATACATTTGTCTAAATTTTTTTCAAAATTTTTAACTTCTTTGCCTTTGGTTTGAATTTCCTCCTGTAGCTCAGAGTAATTTTGATCGTCTGAAGCCTTCTTCTCTCAACTCGTCAAAGTCATTCTCCGTCCAGCTTTATTCCATTGCTGGTGAGGAACTGCATTCCTTTGGAGGAGGAGAGGCACTCTGCTTGTTAGAGTTTCCAGTTTTTCTGCTCAGTTTTTTCCCCATCTTTGTGGGTTTATCTACTTTTGGTCTTTGATGATGGTGATGTACAGATGGGTTTTTGGTGTGGATGTCCTTTCTGTTTGTTAGTTTTCCTTTTAACAGACAGGACCCTCAGCTGCAGGTCTGTTGGAGTTTGCTAGAGGTCCACTCCAGACCCTGTTTGCCTGGGTATCAGTAGCGGTGGCTGCAGCACAGCAGATTTTCGTGAACCGCGAATGCTGCTGTCTGATCGTTCCTCTGGAAGTTTTGTCTCAGAGGAGTACCCAGCCGTGTGAGATGTCAGTCTGCCCATACTGGGGGGTACCTCCCAGTTAGGCTCCTCAGGGGTCATGGGTCAGGGACCCACTTGAGGAGGCAGTCTGCCCGTTCTCAGATCTCCAGCTGCGTGCTGGGAGAACCACTGCTCTCTTCAAAGCTGTCAGACAGGGACATTTAAGTCTGCAGAGGTTACTGCTGTCTTTTTGTTTGTCTGTGCCCTGCCCCCAGAGGTGGAGCCTACAGAGGCAGGCAGGCCTCCTTGAGCTGTGGTGGGCTCCACCCAGTTGGAGCTTCCCAGCTGTTTTGTTTACCTAAGGAAGCCTGGGCAATGGCGGGCTCCCCTCCCCCAGCATTGCTGCCGCCTTGCAGTTTGATCTCAAACTGCTGTGCTAGCAATCGGTGAGACTCCATGGGCATAGGACCCTCTGAGCCAGGTGCTGGATATAATCTCCTGGTGCGCCATTTTTTAAGCCCGTCGGAAAAGCGCAGTATTAGGATGGGAGTGACCCGATTTTCCAGGTGCCATCTGTCACCCCTGTCTTTGACTAGGAAAGGGAACTCCCTGACCCCTTGTGCTTCCTGAGGGAGGCAATGCCTTGGCCTGCTTTGGCTCACACACAATGCACTGCACCCACTGTCCTGCACCCACTTTCTGGCACTCCTTAGTGAGATGAACCCCGTACCTCAGATGGAAATGCAGAAATCACCCATCTTCTGCGTCGCTCACGCTGGGAGCTGTAGACCGGAGCTGTTCCTATTCGGCCATCTTGGCTGCCACGCACTTTTTTGTTTATCCTCTGTTCTTCCCTAATGTTCATAAGTTATTTTACTGATCAGTAAGCTAAATGAATATTTGTGTTTTTCTGTATCCAGTATCATAAAGAATTAAAGGTTTCCATGAAAGCCAAATAAAAATCTATTGGATACAAGAATTTCTTAAATTACCCACCGACTTGTCTGATTCTCTTGAGGTTTACAATTATTTAATTGCTATTTTTTTCTCATTGATGTCAAGAAACAAGGAAAAGGAAATACACTTAAATTGAGCGTAGGGTCTGGTGACACCTAAAAATTATTTATGGAAAGGGTAAATAAACAAATACGATGTTTTGCTTAAGTGGTTGAGTAATATAAATATTAAAAGTCTTGTAAATGTAGAAAAGTTAGACATTTCAAGGCTTATTTAAATGCTGTTTGAGATTATCTCTTGTGATCCCCTTCAGTTTAGTGGCACTTTTTGATAGGCTGAAAAACAAGAAACAGAAGAAGTCAGAGTATAATGAGTTCCTTATTAAACTACACTTGCCCTAACTTCCATTCAGTGTTTTAGTTGGTTTACTCTAATACTATGTTCATACACTTTCAGCAGACTTATAATTTGTAATTTTCTCTGTTGTCAGGTTAAAGACCATTAAAGCAAAACAGAAAATGCTAAACAGCTTTATTTCATTCCTTCATCTATCTATTCAACAACTAGAAATTGAGAATTTACTGGGTGCAGGCACTTAGCTAGCCACAGGGGCTACTAGGAGAATAAAATTATATCCACAAGGATCTGGTGGTAAAAATGAAAGAGAGCAAAGGGTGCTGATACAAAATTAGAGTGCATTTTTAAAGTGTTATATAAACACTGACAAGTACAGGTTACTATAGTAGCACAGAGAAGAGGCTAGTGGCATCTTAGTAGAAGAAGAAACCTTTACTCTGGAATCAAAAGATGAGATGGAGTTAGGCAAAGAGGGAGAGAAGATGTGACTGTCCTTGCAAAGAGCCTGGCTTTTTTAACATCTTACTCTGTCTGAGTTTGAGAGGGGAAGTTTAGGAGATAAAGGGGTATGCAGGCGGTTCTTCATGATAGGCCTCATGATCCAATCCACGTTAAAGAGTTGGAACTTGACCCAGAGAACAATGAGGGATCATGGAGGAGTTTAAGCTGTAAATTAAAATGTTGGATATGTACTTTAGAGGGATTTCTCTGGCTCTAGCTTTGGAGAAAAGAAAGGAGATGGAAAGATAAAAGTAAAGAAGGTCAGTTACAAACCTGGTGAAGTAACTAAGACAGGAGAGTCTGAACTAAGATGAACATTGAAAGTGGGTAGATTTAGGTCCTAGGTTCAGTGGTTGAATTTCTAATATTCTCATTATGTGCCTTTGTGTGTGTGTGTGATTCTCTGAGTTGTTATCGCATTACTGAGTGACAGAAATTGCTCTAGTATCTTTGGGGTCTCAGCTTTTAGCACAGTGACCACACTATTCATTGTTGGGTAGACAAAACTCAGGGGTGCTGAGCTCTCAAAATTCACCTTTTATACTGGTGTCCATGCAGAAATTGCCTCAAAATTCAATCTTCACTCCTGAGGCAAGTTATCTAGAGAAACAACATGATGTTATGTAATTGAGGAATTTTGATACTTATTTGACTTTTCTCTACCCTATAAGCCTGATTTAGGTTTCAGGGTCATACTTTCAACACACTGTGGCAGTGTGTTGTAGCAGCAGCTCAATAGGCCCATTCTAATATTTCTGGTGCAGTCACAATTTACAGTAGTCTAGACATCACATAAGGAAGAGGAAGTCTGGAAGAAAAGTACAGAAATAGTGTTTGATGGGAGGAAGCGCTGTTAAAAAGAAGAAATGACCCATAAAAAGGTACGTATGTTTGTATGTAGGTATGTAGGTACGCACACATGTAGACACACAAATATGCTTACATATATATTAAAAATCTGAATTAAAAAGTTACAGGGTAGACTGCATTGACCCTGTACTTTCAAATATATATATATATATATATATATATATATATATATATATATATATATGTGATATATATAGCTATATTACAAACTTCTATGTGAAGCATCAGAAGTTTCAATCTAATCATATATTTAGTGGAATGAACTCTTCCATAGATGATAATAATAGGAAAATAATTTAGTGAATAATTTAGTGAATCTACTATAAAGTACAATAAAAGATATAGGTATTTGCAGCAATTCAGAAAAAATAAACCCAGCATATTGGTGACTAAATTATCCACTTGGGTAGGAACATGTGTCAACACCTCTTCTGGGGCTTTAGTGCAGGTCCCCAGAGCACTGATCCTCAGAAGGAGACTAGAAAAGTGGGAGGAGGAGAGAGGGGTGTGAGCTGTGGAAAGGAATTTTTATTCAGTTGGAATGGGGTGGCTGCAAACTTTATTTTACCCCAGGAATATTTTTTCCTACTTCAATAATATTTAACTCAGCCATTTTCCTCTCCAATAAACTGCCAAGCTTGTTTGGCTGCATAAATAAGCTGAACATGAACCACGGTGCCTGATGGTGCCAGCAAAGACAGAAAAGGAGATTAGGATGTGAGAAAAATTCTCTTAGGTTGCCTACTTCATATCCTGTCAACCTTCAGGTTAGGATAGAGTGATTCTGTTTGCCATTTATTTGACTTAAGTTAGAATTACATCTTGCCCATAGTGTTTGGAACTGTGAAATCTTAATAAGTGCTACGTTAGCCAATTCAAATAAAGCCACTCTTGAATCACCAATACTGCAAACAGAGCAGAAAGCTCTAGGGCATATTAAATTAATACGTTCTCAATCTCCTACATAATTTATATTCTGAATCCAATCAACTGAACAGTTGAGAACTTGAGCTCACTTTTTTCTGTCCTCTGTCTTCTCTTTGTGTCTCTTTTCTTGGAGAATGGTGTCACCACACCAGAAAGGAGGGAGGGGGTATAGTTTTAGTTCATTTATTCTTTGTGACTGAATTACTATTATTTATTTCAAACTCTCTTGCCTTGCCTCTTGCCATCCTTTAACTTAGGACTACATTTGTTCTTGTTGGAAAGTTTGCATTGCCTTTAAGCCACTCCCTGTACTTTAGATCATTTGCAAAATTTTCTTCACATTGTCCACAAAAGGACCAACTAATAGTCAAGCTGATCATGGGTTTCCCATGTTTAGAATACTTCAGTGGCCCCTATGAGCCTCAGGCAGTTCTCAAACAGGGACATGGGCCATGAATGTTTAAGAAAATGTACATAAAAGTCTTTACCCAAGACCTACAAAATTGGAAATCTCTGGGATTGGGGCCCAAGTGTGTGTTTGAAAAAAGGATTCGCAGATCATTCTAATGGTCACACTCAATTGAGCACAACTGACCTACGAGATAAATCTAAATTACTTTGTATGACATATAGAACCCTACGTTATTGGGCCCCTTTCTTGAATATTCTTAGATGACACCTTGTATTTTTTGCTTCATCGATACTGAACTCTGTTTAGTTTGCAAAACACAATTTTTTTAATGCCTCGGTGCCTTTACACTAAATGCTACCTCTAAATAGCCTTTCCTTCCCTTGATTCATCCACCTGCAAAAAGCCTGACTATCTTTCTAGCTTTGCTTTCTCTAAGCCTTTCTGCACTTCTCAGCAAGTATTACATGGTATTTTTTCCCTGTGTTTCCTCTATATTTTAACCACAGGTCCATTATAATAATTATCATATATTTGTTGGCATCTTTCCTCCTAAGAAATCAAATGAATATTTAGATTTTTATATTCCAGTGGCTTGGCTCAAAGTAGGTAATGAAATAAATATTTGTCAAATGAAAATGCAAGTAAAGTAAAAGATGTGTGGATGAATAGAAGTGATTCAACAAAGTTTGTGGTTGAAGAAGACAGGAGGTATATATAAAGAGAGGTTTTAGCTGTAGACTTTTGTTTTGGAGCTATGAGCACAGGCCTTCCATTTCTGTTAAGAATATGCTTCTTTTTCTTCTGGAATCTCCAAAAATACTTTTTATGTATCCAGTATATTTATGTGATTCAGAGCAGAGCTTTCTGTAGAACTTTTCTTACACTGACTTCTGAAGCTAGGAAATTATAGTTGAAGGGTAGGATTGCCTATAAAAATGGATACCTCTTAATAATGCCTCTACTAAAAAGAAGAATGTGCTACAAATGTACTATTGGACACATGCAGAACTATTCCTAAAAATGGACACTGAGAAACCTCAAAGACCCAGGGTCTGAAGTAAGTAGGTGCTTTTTTTTCCATTTGAGGAGCTGAGTTCACCAACCTTCAATACATTCCATCGTTTTGGGCCCCAAGCTTTTGAGTGAAATGTTAACCCATGAAAAAATGAATGAGTTTAATGTGAACACAACACAGTTTTCTGTTCCTAAGGAGGAAACAGGCTCAGAGAACTTTTTGCACACCAGGAGTCATTCTGTTGAGTTTTATGTGTGTAAATGAATCAGAAACCATATGGATTAAATTTCTCTTAAAAATACTTAGCCCTGTACATAAAGAAAAAAGAACATTGAGAGAAAATCTGAGTGGAGTTGGAATGAACTAGGGAGAGGCAATGTTTAATTAAGCCATGTTGTGGCCAGATGAGGCCCTTTCAATTTCCGGCTATAAACCTCTCTTGTTTTTGAAATACTTTTAACTTCTGTTTCCTTTTAGTCTAGCTTTCCTTTGGGAGTGAGCAAGTGGTTTCTCAACTCTCGGACTTCCTAACTTTGTTTCAGTTAAAGCATAGAATACACACAGATGTCACAATGAAGACACTGATAAGAATGATTATATTTCAGTATCCTCCTCCTACCTATCCGTCCCATCCTACCTTTGGTTGGAGTTGCACAGGCTGATCTTGGCAGTTGAGTTAAGGCAGAATCTTCCCATTACCAGCGTGATTATTACTCTTCATCAGCAGGCAAAGCTTGGCTACTCATCTGTTTTAGCACAAACCAAAAAGAGAGGTATTCCTGGTTCCAGCTGGGCTCTGGTGGTACAGGAAGAAGCTGGTTGTGTGGATTTCTCCATGGTGGGGAAACATTTGATGCTAAGTGTCAATCAGGATGAGGACTGGGGAAAAAACTTTATTTGAAAACACTTGGAAAGGAGAAATGGGAAATGCTGAATTCTTGCATTCTCAAAGGCTGGCTGCCTTTCTTTTTGTAATTAATTATCTCCCCTGCTGAGTGCTTATTTTCTTCATGTCTGTTGATTTGATGTTCTGCAACCATAGTGGTGTAATAGCACCCTATCTTTAACAATACATTGAATATATGCAACTCTTTCTCTGAGGGTGCTGGATTTCTTGTAGGTATTCAACTTAGTTCTCTTTTCTGAACTTGGGAGAGTGTGAGTTTGACGTTTACAAGGCTAGTCAGTGGATGTGGCATGGCTTTGATAGATCGAGCTGGAGAGAAGGCTTTCCCTTAACAAGGTAAGCATGAGCTTGCACAAAGAAAATGTTCAGTCTATAGCAGCTGTGCTACCCTGTTGCCCTTCCTTTTGTTCAAGTGCACTTCCCTTTAGTGGCCTGGATTCAGAGATTCTCTATCGCAGCTCTGCACTTGGGCAGTCCTTATTTGGGACAGCTCTTTATCTTCCTTTATAATTGTGCAGAAAGCTCTCAAGGTGTCCCCACTCACCTACATGCAGTTTCCTTTTAAAAGATGCAAACAGTTTATTGTATAATACTTAAATTTTGATACTCTTCCATACTCACTTGACAGCTGAATTTTATGATATCTTTCAACCACTCCATGGTTTGGAAAATATGAAATCTCTGTGAACTCTCTTTTCTTTCTCTGCTTCTCAGTCAGTGTTTCTCTCTGTCCTTTCCTTTATGCCTTCTGTTCTATTCTGTGCATGCAGTTTTCAAGATGTGAGTGAAAGAGAAAGAGAGAAGAAAGAAGTCTCAAATTTAGACCTGGAGAGCTAGAAAAGAGCTTGGAGATCATTCTAATACAGAATAACTCAAGGGAAAGTCATCCTCTCAATGCTTAGATCTCCCCACTGGTAAAGTGAAACACCAGTGGGGGGATCTAAGCATTGAGAGGATGACTTTCCCTTGAGTTATTCTGAAAGTTGATGGCTAAATTCTGGTTAGTTTACTTAGTCACTTAGAGTCTTTTTTCTTATAACTGCCAGGGCGTATTTTCAGAACCCCAAAATCTGGTTCCTTAGTCTGGCAAAGCACTTTTTCTGAAACCTGTGAATTTCCCTACAGAGGTTTATAAAATCTCATTTTGTTGCGTAGCTTGTATTTAATGGAAATAATAACATTACAAGAAATCTGCACTGGTAGAAAATCTGGACTAATGTGTTGTTAATAATGCACAGACTCTCATGATGTCTTACACTAGCCTGGGCTCTCGACTTACCCAACAAGTTAGTGGCATCTGGGACTAAACCCCAGTGTACTGGTCCACGCAGTGGTTCTCAATCTTTAGCATTCATCAGAACCATCTGGAGGGCTGATTCAGTAGATCTGCGGTGGGGCCCAATAATTTTCGTTTCCAACAGTTTTCCTGGATGCTGTTGATGCTGCAGGACCAGTGATCACACTTTAAGAACCACTGCCATAGCAGAAATAATGGTGTTTCTTTCTCTTCTGCCAGCCTAGTTAAAAGGGAAAAAAGTAGGCAAATTCAAGCAGTCTTGCTGAACAGTTCTCTAACTCTCAAATTCAGACTGTTTATCTTCCCTGTCAAAGATGCACTCATCTTTTAGGGAGATTATATGAATTGTTTTATTATTTACCCCAGAATAATACAAAATCTTTTTGATATATGGTGGCAACATCAATCTTTAAATCAATAAATCACCCTTTATATTTTATACTTTCATAAATGCATGTATAACTTATCTAAGTCAATTTGCATTTGCAGTTGCCACAGTGTGCTTAACATCACACAGTTAGTAAGCAGAGATATGGCAAGGATTAGAACTCAGTCATTTTAACTCCAAGTCCTATGTCCTTTTGATATAAGACTAATTGTGAAAATCAATGAGTTAATGGCACCTTTCATTGTCATGTAAGGATGTGCCAATCTGTGTAATGTTGCTATGCAGGATATACCAGGATTAACCTTGTAAACCTTGAACTAATTATTCACATTCCATGACTCCTATAACCATCTTGAATTGACCTGATGGATCTGCCTGAGGTAAACTTTTTGTTACTATTTGTCTGAGAGTTCCTTATGGATTATGGGGACAAAAACAAAGCCAAAAATAGCCACAAACAAATGTACGTCTAGCCAATTAGAGTTGCACAGATCTCGTCACAAGCATGGGGCAGCTGTAACAATTTGTAATCAGAGGGTTCTGCTGAAAACTTGTCATGGAGCTTATTCTTGAGCAGTATTTTGAAGAAAGATAACTGATCTGGTTTACAATATAGGAGAGGACACCTCTGGTGAGGAAAAAACAAGCAAGTAAAGACTGGTAAGCATTGTCCTTTGGCAGGAGTGAAAACCTAAAGGCTGCATGTAGCAGAAAGAGGAGGCCAATTATGTAAGTGAGAAGCCAGTTGAAAAAAACCATGACGCATGTGTCCCTGAGATACTTAGCTAAGACAATACTGTACATAATCAGGGTTTCCTTCATGGAAGTCAGGCAAGAGTCCAAATGAGAAATGCACGTTGTATCATCTACCCTTTCTAGTCCTCTATGAATGTTTTCTATAGGAAAGTATGCTTCCAGGGAGATTCAGCATGTATTCTGCAGCTGTGGGAAGTGGCATTAGCAGGCCAGAATGAAAATAAATCTAACAGAAGGGCAGAATGGTTAATGTGCCTGAAACCCTGGATACTGCAGTGGCCAAAAGAACCTGGAAGGGTCTGTGAGACACTGGATTGCGGGGTAACAATTTATGGATAACCTTCTAACAAAAGATTTCCCGTAACATTTAAAGTTGGTGAGATCCGCCTTCCCAAGATGGTGGGCATTGCCAGTAGAAAGTCCCAGCTCCTGGAAAAGTGATTACATTGAGCCTATGGAGTCATTCCAACCATGTAAGGGCTTGGCGGTGACTGAAGTGTGCGCTTTGCTTTGCTTGACATTATGTTGAGCTTCAGTTGGCTTGTAGCTCATCTCATTTGACAAAGCAAAGCTGCCTTATTGTTTGAACATTCCTCTGATGTTTATGTGCTCCTATCCACTCAAAGTCATCAGGCAGGATGGTTAGAGCCAATGCTGTTCATATGTAATTATGTTTGCTTTGAAATGCATATCTGACTCCTGCCCTGGACCTCAGCAACTGAAGTGACATCCTGTATACAGTCCCTATTTTATGACACTGTCTCCCACTGTGAGGTAAAAGTTTCCTGGAAGATAACAAAATCAAAATGGAGAAGAAATGAAAACAGTTTCCTAAGTTATAAATAATTGATAATGATGATAAAATTGATGGTAAGTTTTCATTGCATAATTTGATTGATATGGCAGTTATCATAGCAGCCTTGAACAGAATGCTCTTGTGAACAAGATAATTCATCTCACTGAGTCTGTTTCGGCACAAATATTTTAAAATGAAAGGCATAATAAATCTGTACATAGAATACACACACTGGGCTGCCAAACCTGCCACCTGTTTAAGCTTTTAATGAGCAGTCCTGCTTGCAACAAAAAGCCATATCAAATTAATGCTGACATTTTTCTTTGCTGCTGCTGTGCATATTCCAGGGACTCAGAGAGATCATTTTGCAAAATCCTCTAAATGGGGCAAACTCTGATTTTTTTCATTATAATTTAACAACTGTTAAGCAAGCTCCCCCGGAAACTGTATTTACATCTGCAGCTCAGTTGGGGCTTGGGGTCTGGGTTTAGGGGTGGAGTTGGTAGTGTTGGGTAAGTGGAGGGTCTGAACTCTAACCAAGTGGGAAAAGAACACTGAACAAGGAGTTAGGAAACTTAAATGTTTGTCTTGTTTCTCCTATTGTTACCAATGGTCCTTTTGGCTCCCAAGGACCTATTGTAGGTATTCACAGTGCACATTTTAGGTCTGGAGTTGGGAAGAGCAAGGAAAAGGGTTATGAAAAGATCAGTATAGTGTCTGAGGGGGCCAAGCAGTACCCATTCATCTTTTCAAAGACTTGCAGAGACACGGAGAGCAATGTTAGCTCATTCCCTAAATATACTGCACTTTAATTCTGTCAAAAGAAGTAGTTGTTTTGAAGTACAATAGCATGGTAAGGAAAGGATTCCCATATTTCCTATTCCAGTGTCATTAAAAGAAACAGGTGAGAGCAGGACTTGAGAAGTGGCAGCACATGAAACAAGCAAGCAGAGCCACTGCCTTCCTGAGGCTACCAGAAGGGAGGCTCCAGCCACACAGGGTGGAAGAACCCAACGGGGGCAGAGCAGAGCACTCACACTGGGGGAAAACGATTTCGTACAGGCTTTTATACAACAAGAAGCATTCCTCTTGAGCAACGTGGATATCCTCTGAATCAAGTAGCTTTGATTAAATAAAGGTCATTAGCAACAGACACACATGCAAGCCATTGCTTTTCCTTTTGCTTTGCTCTTCTCTCTTTATCCTCCTCACAACATCTTAATGAGCTTTTAATCCTCCATTTATATGTTATGTTTATGTACAGAAATTTATCTTGTAGTCCTGACCTTGGCAGGCAACCCACATTTTATATGCACATTCAGGGGTGGGAAGGATTCAAGTTTGCTACCCAACCTAGTTAGGCACACAGCCGGTACCTCCCTGCTGTCCCTTAGAGTGACAGCCAGGGAACAATGAGCTTAATTAACCTATTTCACATTCAGAATATATTTCCAGATAGCCTTTGGACCTGGCAGACCACCAAGGATGTACTCATTTCTGCTGCTGCTGCTGTTAATGATGAAGTGAGTTTTTAACCATGAACAGTTATGAGTCCTCTGATAACATTTCAGTGGTAAAATTCCTTTGAGCTTTTCATTTATTTTAATAGTGATTCTGTAAAAGGAATAAAGTCCAGGTTTGCTGGCCAAAAGCAAGTGATGTCATGTGTACACCTAGTCTGTTTAGGTCAGAGATACACTTAACATCAAATGTCAGAAAAATGAGCACAAGCCAACTGTTTGTTGGTATTATGTATTAACTTTCCATTTTGTAGGCTCTTGTTTCTCACTAATTTTAATGTGCTAATTAATTTACTAGTTTATCAAGTTTTTAAAGAGCTGTTTCAGCCTGAAAAACATAGCAAGACCCTATCTCTATAGAGAATTAGCCAGACATGGGGCCGTGTGCCCGTAGTCCCAGTTATTGGGAAAACTGAGGCAAGAGCATCACTTGAGTCCAGGAGTTCGAGGATGTAGTGAACTGTGATTGTACTACTGTGCTCCAGCCTGGGCCAAAGAGTGAGGCTCCATCAAAGAAAAAAAAAAGAAAAAGGAAAAAAATTTTAAAAAAAGGCTATTCCTGGCCTGCCATGGTAACTCATGCCTGAATTCCAACACTTTGGGAAGCTAATGCAGGAGGATCACGTTAGGCCAGGAATTCAGGACTACTCTGGGCACCATAGTGAGACCCCATCTCTACAAAAAGTAAAAAAATTAGCATGGCATAGTGGTGACCTGCCTGTAGTCCCAGCTACTCAGGAGACTGAGACAGGAGGATCGTTTGAGCCCAGGAGTTTGAGGCTGCACTGAGCTATGATTGCACCACTGTACTCCAGCCTGGGTGACAAAGCAAGACTCTGTCTCTAAAACAAACAAACAAGCAAAAGGGCTATTTTCTTTGAAAAGTAGTATCAAAGTTCAACACAATCAAGAATTTTCGGTTCAATGCCCAAATTTGTTTTCATTTATAGTACTTTCAAAAAGAATTTAAAGGAATCACATAATGAAAGACACAAGCAAAACATTAAAACAAGAGCCAAATAATAAAGTCATTTGGAGAAATATGATTAATACCAGGAAGCTTCTGATTGTTCAGACTGTAATTCTAGGCAGTCAGGTTGAAAAAATGATCTGTAAAGTCAGCATCAATGTATCAGACTACAAACAGTGCAAAATAAAGTGTAACTACATTTTTATATAGCTCATATTCATCTGAATTTCAAATTCCTATTCTGACTGACAATAAAAACATGATTCAAACAAGTCTTAGTCATTTTCAGATTTACAGTCAGTTGAAACAGGATCTTTCCTTTCTCATCTCCAAAATGGACATTTTGTTATAGGAAGTACAAGGCTACAGCATCCAGAGAGGTGTCCGATGCATGCTGGCAATGTAGGGGCCAAGGGAAAATTTCCCTTTATCCTCTGAAGGTTTGCTAAAAGAAATCCATTGCAAAAAGCAGATTAACACAAGAAAAGATATTCAAATTTATTGACAGGCGCAGGAGTCACGCAAAATATAAGAACTCAAAGAAAGGCAAGATGGTTGACACTTTTATACCATCTTGAGGTTACAGAAAGAATAGGGGAGCTTAGAGCATGGCAAGACAAGTTATATGAGAGGAAGAAGAGGAGAAACCTGGCTAGCAAAGGTGGTCTTGTGGTGTAGATGAAAGCTTGCAGGTAGCAGCCCTCAGAGAGAATAGATGGTGAATATTTCTCTCAGATCTTTAAAGGTTCATACTCTCAGTTCATCTTTCCTAGACCTGGACAAGGGGGGCTTCAGAGAAAGCTTGTTTGCATCTTTTGTTTACTTCACTTTATTTCTCTACAGATGCAAATCTCCCCCACAAAAGACAGATTTGCAGGGCTACTTCTGTTTGGGCCCTCTGAACAGCCGTGCCAAAATGTATTGAGGAAGTGTATTTTGGGGTGAAATATTTTGGTTTCCTTTGACATCCACTGTGATGAAAATCATTTCTTCAGAGAAGTCACCCCTGCATACTTGTATCTGTTAAGATAATGTCCCTGGTCTTACTGGTCTCTGGCCCTCAGTCCATTAATTTTTCATCTTACGCACCTCCACATTACACATTTTCTACTCACAGCTAATTCCAGTGTCCTCCTTTGAGGCACATGAAGATTTGACTGCCCTTCATCTTCCCTGGAATCCTATACTCTGCAGGTACTACACCATGTTGGGATGGAGTGGGAAATGCTGCCACTCGCCTTCCTGACATGCTAACCTGAGGAGACTAAGCTCAAGGTGGTCAGATACAGACATTTTCCTCTGAGAGTCTCAATAGTGTCTGTCTCTTGCTTCTCTCCTTTAATTCTCTTCACCCATTACAGTTCAAAATTACATTATTTTGAAAAACCAGTTGAAAGTGGAAATAAAGGGTAGATAAGAGGAAATATATTGGTTCTACCCAACTGCACTTTCTATCATATTTTTAGTCTGAAGGTTTTAAAGATTGCCATTAATTTGAAATTTTTCCTCTCTGCTTCTACCTCCCTTCGAGGAGAAGAGAAGATCCTTTTAGAGCCAAAATGTAGCATGGTCATGAGACAGTAAGGAAGCCCAGGAAAAGTGCATCATCAACACCGCAGTTGATATCATCCAATCACAGTCATCTCTAATATTATGAATCTGATCGGCATGAGCAGTACAAGGGAACTTTCTGGCCTCTGTGTAAATAGTCCCATTGATATGAAACTACCAAATTCCAGAGGTTTACCTTTATATCCTTGAACAACTCTCATTTCAAAACAAAAATAAATTTAATTTAGCTGAAACTGAAAGCTATAAGAAAGGTTTTTATAAAGCCCTGCCTACCCAATGCATAGTCAACCTTTCATTGAATGTCATCCTGCTAAAGAAAATTGCAGATGTGAAAACGACTTGCAAAATTGAAATCGCTTAATACTGAGAGCCAAAAAAAGTATCAAAGAAGTTTCACTTATCTTCTCTAATTTAAATTTTGATGATATTAAACCGTGAGATCACAGACCCAGGAGTTATGGCTTCTTCATTCCAACTTACAGTATCCTGTTTCTATTATGTACCCACATAGCACCTGTAGAGTGTGAGATAATGCTGTCTTTACATGTCTCAGAGTAAAATTGATATTTAGAGGACTCAAGTGACTAATCCAGGGTCTCACAGGTATTAAGTGGCAGAAATTAAATAAAAAATGAAAATATTCTGAAACCAAACCCATGTGCCTGGATGTCTTTGCATTATTCCCCATTTTAATGGGGAATAAATATATATAATATTATAATTATAATTATAATATATAATAAAGCACTACATATATCATGAGTTAAGACCTATATTTTGAGTATCACAGCCTTCCTGAAGCTTAACAGTCCCCTCTAACAAGAATGAAAAATCTCAGTGATGAGCCTTTCTTTTTCATATTTTTCTGATGATTTCCTAAAGTGACAAATTTATAGAGAGAATTCTTAGAGCACATTTGTTTAAAGGACAGCCCTGGAATCCAGAAATGTGTCTTGAGGATACACCTGAGCTTTTATACTGTAGAATGTTCTCAAAATTCAACAGAGCCTTAAAATATGCAGAAAAACTCCCAGTATAATTTTAAGACTTGAAACTAAAATGGTGTTTTAACTCATCAAGTCTTGCTTTCTGAACCTGTCTTTTCTCAATTTTTTTATGAGACAGTAGGATTAAATAAGAATTGTCTATTGCATTATAAGAAGCCAACCAGCCCAGCTGACTCCAGCATAAGCAACTTGACAATCCTATGACTCAAGTCTAATTTGAGGTCCCAAATAAACAGAGACTTCTGGTTTTGTTTCAGATGCCAGTAATTTTTCTCCTTGTTCCTTCATCCAAGAAGCACCACGAGCCTAACCACACAATGAACAGCATTTGATACAATTAAACATGATGTAAGTTCAAGAAAGCCTTTGCTAACTCATGTGACATTCAACTCTCCACTTCCCTCCCAGGGCTCCTTCCTGTTTAGCACAGTGGAGCCAGTGCTGGCTGGTCAATAGTAGATAGCAGCTGCATTGAGTTTTCTGAATGCATCTGGAAATCACAAGATCACCCCAGGAGAGTACCCGAGTTTTCTAGGAAAGAGGCCAAAGCATTTATATGCATGCAACTTTAAATATAATGATTCAGAAAAATCTATGTATTCAGATCCTGCATGCAAAACACAATAGGTAACAGTTCTTCATGCAGGATCCTCTACAGGATCTTCATGGAGAAAATTGAGCTGTCTAAGCTGGACAGAAGTCATGCCTTTTACTTAGCTCTTCATGTCACTTTCAATTCAATAACCAAATGCTTTCTTGTGAAGGGTAGGGACAAATAAAATAAATATCACAGGCTAAAATGTATTGACCACTTAGTATTTGGGTTCTATTCAAAATAATTTATATGGAGCATACATTTAATCCTTAAAATACTCCTAGAATGTAGGTGCTACTATTATCCTCATTTTACAGATGAAGAAACAGGGCAAAGTTAAGACACTTGCCCGAGATCAGGACATAGTATAGAGCATAATTTAAATCAGTCCATCTAACTCAATTCTGGGCTTTTAAACACTGTGTTATATTCTCCGCTAAAGGAGGATCCCTTTCTGGAAGCATTGACCAAGCTCAGCTGGACAGTGTCCTCTAAGTGTTAGTATGAGCAATCCACTGCCATTGCGTTAAAAACAAAGATGTAAAGAAACCATAATAAGCCACAGATAGAACAGAATTCTTGATTATTTATATTGTGTGACTTTACAATTATGCCAGCAGAGTGCTCTAATTTGAAAATAGTATGCTAGTTTGCTCTATTACCAGAAAACAATTAAAGTATCTTATTTGAATGAGAATAGCCAGTGGTTTGTGTTGTTTCAGACTTGTGCATTTTTACAAAGCAGGAACAGTCAGGCTTCCATGTGGCCCTATAGAATTACCTAAGGGAAATCAAAGACAGCCATCCTGACTCTTCCAGCTCTATGGCCTTCTCATATGGCCACATGCAGACCAAACAGCATTGTTTTGGGAGCCAGCAAGAAGAGAGATGATATGGAAATGCAGAATCATCAGTTTAGCCTCCAGAGAGATAATTCAAGTAATTGCCTCCAAGCAATGCAAAAGATCATAGTTAAAGTTGAATAATCAAGAGCAAAATATTACTGCCACTTTATGCGGTTCTTTGCACTTTGCTTGCAAAGCATATTGCAAGCTCCTCCTCTTGACAGACACTCAGAAGCAGACACTATGAAAACTGCATTGATTAGCTTAAGAGTATTGGACTCTCTGTAAAGGATACAATGTAGAGGGAACTTTCTTTGGAGAAGTAGAATTATTCCTGTGTCTCACTAAGGTAGCCAATATACCTCATGCGTCTCCAATATATTATGCACTTTCAAAGACACATAATATGATTTGCTCATGAATCTCCCATACCAAAAATGATCTTTCTTTTGACTTTGCCTGGTACATTACAATAAATGAGGGAAAATTATAGATTTCTATACCTATACTGATCTTGAGTTTAGGGTTGCAAGCATGAACTGAGTTAAACCTTTTACTCCTCACCTCCATCAACTCTTAACTCTCTCAGTGTGTGGGGGGGTGGGGGGGGGGTGCGGGGGCTGTAAAAAGGTGGCAGTGAGATTTAGTAAATATTGATAATAACAAAAACATGGCAGTTCTTATAAATATGAAACATGGGGTTTGTTGAGGAGCATGGTAGGGAAAGGGAATGTATTATTTCCATTATCAACCTTTCCATCTGTCAGCACAGGTTTACATAAATTCTCTCACACGTTGTAATGGTGTGGTATGATTAAATTCTATCCTAGCCCATGAAGGGGAGCACAGCTATTGATACAGAGAAAACTGCTCTTAAAAGCCCCACTTTATACATGGATCTATAAAAAGACCATAAACTTTGAATTGTTTGATTGCTCATTTAACTCTTAACTCACCTACTTATTTAAAAAAGTATTTGAACTAATTTATGATAAAAACATGCTTTCCATTAGATTAGCTGCCCTTGATTATTTTAACATATTTTGAAGTTGTAATACTTTGTGATTTTAAAACATATTAGATTTTTATTATGTATTTTATTGTGATAACAGACACATAACATGAGATCTACCCTCTTAAATTTTAAATATATAATACATTGTTGTACAGCAGATCTCTAGAGCTTTCTCATCTTGCATGACTAAGACTTATACTCACTGAATAGCACTTGCCATTCCTTTCCCAACCTCCAACCCCCAGCTCCTGGCAACCATCTCTCTACCTTGGCTTCTCTGAGTTTGACTATTTTTGATACCTCGTGTAAGTGGAATAATGCAATATTGTCCTCTGTGACTGGCTTATTTAACTTAGCATAATGTCCTCCAGGTTGCATCATATAGTAGTATATAACAGAATTTCCTTTAAGGCTGAATGATATTCCATTGTATATATATATACTGCATTTTCTCAGTTCATATGTTGATGGGCACTGAGGTTGTTTCTACCTCTTGGCTATTGTGAATAGCACTGCAATAAACATATTGCTTCAATAAACATATTGCTTCAAGATTCTACTTTCAATTATTTGAGATAAGTACCCAGAAGTGGGATCATTGGATTATACAGCAGTTCTGTTTTTAATTTTTCAAGAAAGCTAAAAACTGTTTTCTATAATGGCTTCCATTTTACATTTCCACCAACAGTGCACAAGAGTTCCATTTTCTGCACATCTTTGTCAACACTTGTTATTTTCTGTTTTTTAAATTACTATTTTTATAATGCTCATCCTAATGAATTATGAGATGATATTTCATTGTGGTTTTGATTTCTATTTCTCTGATGATTAATGATGAAATATATTACATTTTAATTTTTTTTAATTTTGATTTCATCCAGAGAAAAAATGCTATATGGTATAATATCTATACATTGCTGCTCCTGAGTCATTCATTCTTTGAAATGAGAAATGGCCTGTGCTTAAAACTGAAT
Source organism: Homo sapiens (assembly GCF_000001405.40). Classification (NCBI taxonomy): domain Eukaryota; kingdom Metazoa; phylum Chordata; class Mammalia; order Primates; family Hominidae; genus Homo; species Homo sapiens. The sequence continues at coordinate 85,684,505 of NC_000004.12, forward strand.
AGCCCTCTCAGCCTGCTTCCTGTGCTGTAGAAGATTGAGAATTATAGGTCTAATTTCATTTTATGCTGTCCGTTTCCGTCCAAGCCGATATAATTTCTTTTAAAATTTTGTGGATCTGCAGTGTATCATATTATAAATCTACCCTATTAAACAAAAGCTACACCCATGTTTCTTTCAGAGAGAGGCTGTTCTGTACAGTTGATTGAGAGTCAGGGTGCTGTAGAACAATGCCCTTAAGCTTCTTGAAAGCCTTTTTATTTAGTTGTTAGTGTCTAATAAAGGCAAATCCTTAAGATTCTTAGAGCCTCTTTTAACTGCAACAGAGAGTCTGAGAGTCATGTCCTTGAGATTCTCACAAGCTCTACTTGGCATACCCTTAAAACTTTCTGAGGTCTCAACAAAGTGTCCTACAGTAACACTCTGTAGATGTTTACTGCTTAACTGGGGCAGTGTTTCGGATATGCTATTTGTCCAGAGGCAATTTTGTATTTTGTGATCTTGTGTTTTCTGGAGAAACTAGGAATAAGATAATGGTTTCATTATTAGATTCAGTAAGTCTTGCCTCCTTCATATTTTCTCTAAATTTTTCTTTATAGCAGTTTTTTAAGCTTATCTTTTTCTATCCAAACATTCTTATATGCAGATAAAAGAAACCACTTGCTACTTTTTTAATGTTCTGCCTAAAAATCTTAGCCAAATCCACCAGTTCATTAGGTATATTTTTCAACCTTATAACTCCTGCCTTGCTGCCAAACACTCTGCCACTAATCATTGAGATTACCTTTCCTCTGGCCTCTAATTTCCTTGCTGTCTTTCATGCCCTCAACAGAAGTCTCCACAAAGTGGGGCTGTGCACGGTGGCTCACGCCTGTAATCCCAGCACTTTGGGAGGCCGAGGCAGGTGGATCATGAGGTCAGGAGATCGAGACCATCCTGGCTAACATGGTGAAACCCTGTCTCTACTAAAAATACAAAAAAATTAGCTGGGCATAGTGGCAGGCGCCTGTAGTCCCAGCTACTCAGGAGGCTGAGGCAGGAGAATGGCGTGAACCCAGGAGGTGGAGTTTGCAGTTAGCCGAGATCGTGCCACTTCACTCCAGGCTGGGCGACAGAGCGAGACTCTGTCTCAAAAAAAAAAAAAAAGAAAAGAAAAAGAAGTCTCCACAAAGTGCTTCTGACTTCTGCCTATCTCCTGGTCCCAAAATCAGTGCTATATATTTTAGGTTTTTGTTACAAGAGCAGGTACTGCTTTATGTTTCTGTTCCGTATCAGTGCATAGCAAACTATCCCAAAACTCAGCGGTTTAAAACAACAACCATTGTATTACATTTCACAATTTTATGGGTTAGAAATTTGTAGAAAGTTTGACAGGACAATTTCTCTACTCCAATTGGCAGTAGCTGAAGTAACAGGGTGGATTGGTAGTGGATTCATAGGAGAATGGACTGGTCTTGGAAGATCTAAGAGAGCTTCACTCACAGGTCTGGCACTTTGGTGCAGGCAGCTGTGCTTGGTCTCAGTTGCTGTTTGGAGTACCTACATGATGGTTGTCTAGCATGGCTGTCTCAGGATAGTTGGTAGTTTTCCCTGGAGGATCAGCTCTCCCAGAGAAGGTCCCAAAAGACTGGCCTGGGCACAGAAATTGGCACAGATTCAAATCAATCACAGAGCCTACTTATATTTAAAGCTAAAGTCAAGTACCCAACTCTTAATGGAAAGAGTGTCAAAGAATTGGCACCCATATTTAATATGTCACATGATACTATAAGGAATAATGAGCCAATATGAAAATAAAGGAAATGGAGCTAGCATTTACTAGAGAAAATGGCACCTAGAGTTTAGAATGTAAAAGCTTATTTCCTTTATATACTTAGTGTGCGAAGTGAGTATCCTGTATTACAAAACCGTCTCAAGAACTTTATTTGTATTCTTTCCAGGATAAATCATGACAAAGAGGTATTTAACAAGAAAACGAAGTCCTGGGTGACTTGTATTAGTGAGACTTTTAATTAAATCTTCCAAATTAAATTCTGGAGAGGTATATATAGTATTGAGTAAGTTGTTCCAAAATGCTTGCAATAATATTTATGTCCTACAGGGCTGTGCGTGTAGTAGAGATGCTCTCTCTTTGTGAAGAAGGCCCTGCATACATTAAACAAGTCCGTAAGTTCAATGGCTCATTGAAAAAGAAAAGTATAACTTGTGAAATACAAATACACTTGTGAAATATGAACACATTTATTCCTTAGCATTACTAATCAAAAGCCTTCATTAGAGGAAAAAAATACTTTTAAAAAATCATAAGATCTTTAGCCACAATTATAACATTGTATTAGTAAATTAGTCTTCTCTGCTTGTAAATTTGGCCAATAGCTATGGTCATTACAAATATTTTCAGAAAGGCTTTCATTAGAAACTGAGTAAAGGAGCCCTTGCCCAATGTAGTAATCTTACCATTAACTTCTTTGTATCCCTACCAGGTGTCACCCCTTGTCAATATTGGCATGGGATGGAGGGGGGAGAAAACATACCTGTATCAACTTCAAGAAAAATTGCTAATTAGAGATTCAAGAAAATCTCTAATTAGATAATGGTGATGATGATGATGATGATGGATGGATAGATAGATAATTTTAATTAAAATTTTTGTTGAGGGAGAAATTAGAAGTTGTAAAGATGCTTAGTTTGGGAAACAGATAAGACTGAGGTGGTACTTGGTTTATTTATCTGTTTATTTATACATAGGGTTGAATTTTCTTGTCTTTTTTACAATTTCAACTTCTATTTTAGATACAGGGGGTACATGTGCAGGTTTGCTCCATGGGTATATTACATGATGCTGGGGTTTGAGGCATGGATCCTATCACCCAGGTAATAAGCATAGTACACAATAGGTAGTTTTTTAATCCACAGCCCCTACTCTCTCCCCGCTTTAGTAGTTCACATTGTCTGTTGTTCCCATGTATTTGTCCACCTGTGCTAAATATTTATAAGTGGGAACATGTGGTATTTGTTTTTTCTCTTCCTGTGTTAATTCACTCAGGATTATGGACACCAGCTGCATTCATATTGCAGCAAAGGAAATTATTTTGTTCTTTCTGGCTATGTTGTATTCTGTGTTGTATATATACCATATATTCTTTATCCAATTCAGCATTAATGGACACCTAGATTGATTCCATGTCTTTGTATTGTGAACAGTGATGAACATGCAATTGCATGGTTTTTTTTTCTTTTTTCAGTAGAATTATTTCTTTTCCTTTGGGTATATGCCCAGTAATGGAACTCCTGGGTCAAATGGTAGTTCTATTTTCTTTTTTTTTTAAAACAGAGTTTTGCTTTTATTGCCCAGGCTGGAGTGCAGTGGTACGATCTTGGCTCACTGCAACCTCCACCTCCCAGGTTCAAGCGATTCTCCTGCCTCAGCCTCCTGAGTAGTTGGGATTACAGGCACCTGCCACCATGCTCGGCTAATTTTTTGTATTTTTAGTAGAGATGGGGTTTCACCATGTTGGCCAGGCTGATCTCGAACTCCTGACCTTAGATAATCCGCCCGCCTTGGCCTCCCAAAGTGCTGGAATTATAGGCGTGAGCCACCGCACCTGGCCGGTGGTTCTATTTTAAGTTATTTGAGAGATCTCCAAACTCCTTTCAACAGTAGTTGAAGTAATTTACATTTGCACCAACAATGTATATATGTTCCCTTCTCTCCACAGCCTCCTGAGCATCTGTTATTTTTTGACTTTTTAGTAATAGCCATTCTGACTGGTGTGACATAACATCTCATTGTGGTTTTGATTTGCATTTCTCTGATGATTAGTGATAATGAATATTTTTTCATGTTTGTTGGCCACTTATATGTCTTCTTTTGAGAAGCTGCTTTTCATGTTCTTTTCTCATTTTTTTAAATGGGATTATTTGTTTTCTGCTTGTTATTTTGTTTAAGTTCCTTATAAATTCTGGATATTACTCCTTTGTCAGATGCATACTTTGTGACTATTTTCTCCCGTTCAGTAGAGTGTCTGTTTACTCTGTTGCTGGTTTCTTTTCCTGTGCAGAAGCTCTTTTGTTTAGGTCCTACTTGTCAATTTTTGTTTCTGTTGCCATTGCTTTTGAGGACTTAGCCAAAAATTATTTGCCAAGGCTAAGGCCAATGTCAAGAAGAGAATTTCCTAGGTTTTCTTTTAGGATTTTTATAGATTGAGATCTTACATTTAAATCTTTAATCTATTTTGAGTTGATTTTTTTTAAGGTGAAAGGAAGGGGTCCAGTTTCAGTCTTCTACATATGGTTAGTCAGTTGCTGAATAGTATGTTCTTGTTTTTGTGACCTTGTTGAAGATCTTGTTATTGTAAGTGTGCAGCTTTATTTCTGAGTGTTCTATGCTGTTCCATTGGTCTGTGTGTCTGTTTTTGTACCAGAACCATGCTTTTTTGGTTACTGTAGCTTTACAGTATAATTTGAAGTTGGGTAGTATGATGCCTTTGGCTTTGTTACTTTTGCTTAGGATTGCTTTGGCTATTTGGGCTCTTTTTTGGTTCCATAAAATTTAGAATAGATTTTTTCTAATTCTGTGAAAAATAACATTGGTGGTTTGATAGGAAATGCACTGAATCTGTAGATCACTTTGGTCAGTATGGCCATTTTAATGATAATCATTCTTCCAATCCATCAGCATGGTTTATTCTTTCATTTATTCATGTCATAAGTGATTTCATTTAGCAGTGTTTTGTAGTACTCCTTGTAGAGATCTTTCACCTCCTTGATTAGCTATATTACTAAGCATTTCATTTTATTGATGGCTATGTAAATGGGATTGCATTCTTGATTTGATGCTCAGCCTGGATGTTGTTGCTGGATAGAAATGCTAGTGATTTTTTTTAAATTTTTAATTTTTTTTGAAACAGAGTCTTGCTCTGTCACCCAGGCTGGAATGCAGTGGTGCAATCTCAGCTCACTACAATCTCCACCTCCTGGGTTCAAGTGATTATTGGTCCTTAGCCTCCCAAGTAGCTGGGAATATAGGCGCACACCACCACACCTGGCTACTTTTTTGTATTTTTTAGCAGAAACGAGGTTTTGCCATGTTACCCAGGCTAGTCTCGAACTTCTGAGCTCAAGTGATCTGCCCTCCTCAGCCTCCCAAAGTGCCAGGATTACAGACGTGAGCCAGCATGCCCAGCTGCTACTGATTTTAGTACATTGACGATGTATCCTGAAATTTTACTAAAGTCATTTATTAGTTCTAGGAGCCTTTTGTCAGAGTCTTTAGGGTTTATAGGTATAGAATCACACAGTCCTCAAAGAGAGATAGTTTGACTTCATCTTTTCCTATCTGGATACCTTTTATTTCTTTCTTTTGCCTGATTAGTCTGTGTAGGACTTACAGTACTGTGTTGAATAGGAATGGTGAAAGTGGTCATCTTTGTCTTGTTCCACTTCTCAGGGGGAATGATTCTAGCTTTTGCCCATTCAGTACAATGTTGACCATGAGTTTGTCATAGATGACTTTTATTTTGAGGTGTTCCTTCAGTGCCTAGTTTGTAGAGAGTTTTTATCATGAAGGGATGTTGTATTTTATTGGAAGTTTTCTATGTTTATTTCGATGATCATATGGATTTTAAATTATGTTTATGTGGTAAATCACATTTATTGATTTGTTTATGTTGATCCAGTCTTTGTTGCGGATTTTTGCATTGATATTCTTCAGAGATATTCATCAGAGATATTCATCAGAGATATTTATCAGAAATAAAAGAAAAAAAAATTCTTTTTTATTGTGTCTGCCAGGTTTTGGTATTGGGCTGATTCCAGCTCATAGAATGAGTTAGGGAGGAGTCCCTCCTCCTTGATATTTTTGAATAGTTTCAGTAGGATTGGTACTAGTTCGTTCTTGTATGCCTGGTAGAATTCAGCTGTGACTTCAGGGTCCAGGGCTTTTTGTGTATGTGTTGGTATATTTTTTATTACTGATTCAATTTCAGAACTTGATATTGGTCTATTTGGGGTTTCCATTTTTTCCTCATTCAACTTTGGAAGATTGTGTGTTTCCAGGAATTTATCTCTTTCCTTTAGATTTTCTAATGTGTGTGCATAGATTTGCCCATAGTAGTCTCTGAGGATCTTTTGTATTTCTATAGGTTTAGTTGTAATGTCATCTTTGTCATTTCTAATTTTGTTTGGGTGTTCTCACCCATGCCCACTCCCCCTTTTTTTTTTTTGCTCTTAATCTAGCCAGTGATCTGTCAATCTTGTTTTTTTTTTTTTTATTTCATGGAACCAACTCTTGGTTTCATCGATCTTTTGTATGGACTTTTGCATCTCAATTTTGCTCAGTTCTTCTCTAATTTTAGTTATTTCTTTTCTTCTAATAGCTTTGGGATTGGATGTTCTTTTGTTGTTCTTATTCTGGTTCTTTTAGGTGCAAGGTAAGGTTGCTAATTTGAGATCTCTCTACCTTCTTGGTGAAGGTGTTTGGTGCTATAAACTGTCCTCTTAACACTGCTTTCATCGCATCCCAGAGATTTTGGTAAGTTGCATCTCTATTTTCATTAGCTTCAAATAATTTTTTGATTTATGCCTTAATTTTGATGTTCACCCAGGAGTTATTCAGGAGCAAGTTGTTTAATTTCCATGTAATTGTGTAGTTTTCAGATATCTTCTTGATTTTGATTTCTGTATTTATTGTACCATGGCCTGAGAGTATGCTTGGTATGACTTTGATTTTTTTTAAAATGTATTGAGACTTTCTTTATGACCAAACATTTGATCAGTCTTAGAATATGTTCCATATGCAGATGAGAAGAATGTATATCCTATGGTTATTGGGTGTAGTGTTCTGTAGATTTCTTATTAAGTCCAATTGGTAAAATGCCAAGTTTAAGTCTAGAATCTCTTTGTTAGGTTTCTGCCTCAATGATCTATCTAATGATATCAGTGTGGTGTTGAAGTCTCCCACTATTAAGTGGCTATTTCTTTTCATAGGTCAAGAAGGATTTGTTTTATTAATCTTGGTGCCCCAATGTTGGGTGCAGATATATTTAAGATAGTTAAATCTTGTTGGATTGTACCTTTTATCATTACGCGATGCCCTTCTTTGTCCTTCTTAATTGTTATTGGTTTATAGTCTATTTCATCTGATATAAGAATAGTGACCCTTGCTCTTTTTGTTTTCCATATGTATGATACATCTTTCTCCATCCCTTTACTTTGAGCCTGTGGGTGTCATTACATGTAAGGTGAACCTTTTGAAGACAGAAAATGGTTGGGTGTTACCTTTTTTATCCAGTTTGCCACTCTGTGTCTTTTAAGTGGGGCATTTTGGCCATTTACTTTCAGGGTTAGTATTTATATGTAAAGTTTTGATCCTGTCACCATGTTGTTAGCTGGTTGATTGTAGAGTTGTTGCTTTATAGTGTCTGTGGGCTATGTACTTAATTGTGTTTGTTTGGTAGCAGGTGTTGTTCTATTGGTTCCACATTTAGCATTCTCTTAAGGACTTCTCGTAAGGCTAGTCTAGTTGAAATGAATTCCCTCAGGATTTGCTTGTCTAAAAAGGATTTATTTCTGCTTCCCTTATGAAGCTTAGTTTGGTGGGATATAAAATTCTTGGTTGAAATTTCTTTTCTTTAAGGATGCTGAAAATGGACCCCCAATCTCTTCTGGCTTGTAAAGTTTTTGATGAAGAGTCCACTGCTAGCCTGACAGGGTTCCCTCTATATGTGATCTGACCCTTCTCTATATCTGCCTTTAAGATTTTTTTATTTGACATTGAGCTTGGGGAATCCAATTACTATGTGCCTTGGGAATGGTCATCTTATATAGTATCTAGCCTGGGTTTTCTGTATTTCTTGAATTTGCAACCTCTCTAACAAGATTAGGGCAATTTTTGTGCACTATATCCTCAAGTATATTTTCCAAGTTGCTTATTCTCTGTCCTTCTGTCTCAGGAATGCCAATGAGCCATAGATTTGGTCTTTTTGTGTAACTCCATATTTCCAGAAGTTTTGTTCATTTAAACAATTTTTTTTTCTTTATTTTTGTCTGAGTTGATTCAAAGAACCAGTGTTTGGGCTCTGAGATTCTTTCTACAGGTTGATCTATTCTTCTGTTAATATTTTGATTGTATTATGAAATTCTTGTGAATTTTTCAGCTCCAGAAGTTCAGTTTGGGTCTTTCTTAAAATGGCTATTTCATCTTGCAGCTCTTGGATTATTTTACTGGATTTGTTGGATTGGTTTTCAACTTTCTTCTGAATGTCGATAGCTTCCTTGCCATCCAGATTCTAAACTCTATGTCTGTCATTTCAGAGTGGTTAAGAACCATTGTCAGAGACTAGTGGAATCATTTGGAAGTGAGGGGACACTCTTGCTTTTTGAATTGTCAGAGTTCTGGTGCTGATTCTTTCTCACCTGGGAGGGTTAGTGTTTCTTTAACTGTGGTAAAGTTGAGTATAGTCAATTGTATTCATTTCTGGATATTTTCAAGTGGCCAACCCTCTGCACAGGGTCTTTATTTGTGGCTGAACTCTTGCCCATTGTTTCACAGGGGAGTATATAAGCAAAATATTTTTGGTGTTGTAGCTTGGACTGTGATCCAGTAGATGGCAATTAAGAGTAATGTCCAGTAAATAGGCTCAAACTTGGCAGCTGGGCTGCTCCTCTGTCTTTCCTCACATTTATTGCTGTGCTCTGCAGTGCTGGGAGTAGAGAAGTGACCCCCATTTCCATGTCCACTCCTGGGCCTTGGGGGAGCACCCTCCAATCACTGGCACTGCATCAACATTTCTTTTGTTAGGTGTTCTGGGATGCAGGGCTCACCTGGGCAGAGGCTGCAGCAAAGAAATAGGCCACATCCTTTCCCAACTGGCCCCGTGAAGGAGTCATGACTCACTCGCCTGCCAGCCCACAGACCCCCATGTCTCACTGCCTCAGTCTCTGAGAGTGTGGGTTCCTCCCCGGCTCAAGTCTCAGCCACACATCTCAGCTTAGCAGTCTCAAGCTGCATGCTACAGCCCTGGGGCACAGGGACCTGCTGGTGGCTCCATCCTGTGTACCTGGGGTTGGGCACCAGGTGTGCTGGGAGGTCCAAAGTGCTCCCAGGCCACTAGAAACATACTCAGGTGGAGCAAAACACCAGCCAGGTCAACAACAGCTGCTCTATGCACACACTCCTGTTGGGTAGCCAGGCAAGGGCCCTGGGAGAGGCTGGCGAGCAGGAGGGCCTGCAGAACAGGGAAGCTGGCCCCACTTTCTCCTGGCCTGGCATCTAGCTGGGGCTAGAGATTCTTAGAGGGAGATGGAAAGCCCAGGGGGCATGGGTGCCTATGGCCGCTAGGTGCATCAAGGCCCGTGGCTCCACGCCTGCTGAAGCCCTGTCTCTGCCTACTCTCCAGGCAGATTTGCCTCCCAACTCAAATGTTTATGGGGTACCTGGGGTGCCCTGTGGCTAGAATCCCAGAGGACCATGGTGAGAGTCATACAGTTCCTTCACCCACTCCTTCCCCAGGAGCCTTTCAGGGCCAGGAACTAGCCCTAGCATTTGAGTACCCCACGGATGGTTCACAGCTTCCTACCTCTTCAGCTTCAGTGTCTGCATTGCATCTCCGTCTACTCCTAGCATTTTCGTTATGAAAATCTATTCAAATTATGTTGTTTACTCAAAATTTTGGTCTTTCTTGGTGGGAGCAGCACTTTCTTGTGCATCTAGTCAGCCATCTTGTCCCTTCTCTTCAGCTCTTCTTTAATTTCAGAGAAACTACGGGATTGTTCAAGTGGGAAAGAACCACTGGTGTTAAGGCAGGAGAAACTTGTAAATCAGCTAGGTGGTGCCGGAAGAACACGGGATTTGGAATCAGTCTGCCACTGGCATATATCAAAAATTCACTCATCAGCCAAACGTAAGCTCTAGTGGAGTAGGACCTTTATCTGTCCTATTCACCACGGTATACCAAGCATCTAGAGCAGCACAATCACTTTTTGAATGAATGGATAAAACCTTTAGTATTGTTATTAACAAGTATTAATAGTACTAGTAGCATTAATTTTTATAATCTCTAAATGACTAGAAAATGTTTCTATTGTTTGCAAACATGGAGAAAAAAAAGCTTCTCATCCTTGAAGACACTGTCCCTGACTTTCCCTCGGCCCCTCCACCCTCTGTGTGTGTGTGTGTATATGTGTTTTACATAACAGATATATACATGTATACATATATTTATTGATACATAACTGTGTTTTCTCAGGTTAAGTTTCAGGCTACAAAGAGTATGTTGGGCAAGTATATGAAAATATTAAAGAGTTTCCTTTCCTAATTATATCAATGGATCTTCATCTTGATATTGCTTTTTAGCTATGACGCTCTTGTCTTAAATAAAACTCCTCAAATAACAAGTCAGACCCACATGCCATACCTGAGTTATCAATTTCACACAAGATATTAATGGTAATAATTAAATGCAAGTGCAACTGTTAGCTCAATTACGACAACAACAATTAAAGTGGAGGTAAAATGTTATGCATAACACTCCAAGGTGTATTTTAGGCAAAATCTTCAGATTTTTTGTTTGGGATTTTAGTAGAAGAATTCAAATACCCAGACTTCATCTCAACTGGAAGATCTTAATGTTGTATATGCGTATTTTAGCTTATCTATTCTGAATTATTTCTGTGAAAAGTAAAGCAAAATAATGTTTTGGTTCCTGCATTTAGCCATCTCTACATAAAAAATTAAGTGATGCTGACACACAACTATGTAAGTTCTCTGCTACTTTCTAAAGACCATGGTTCATATTCTCCTAGATCATGGCATGTGCCCAATAAAGACAGGGTTTGCCTTCACCTAACATGTTTGCCTGTTACATGGGTATGGGGAAGGTTTAGCTAACTCCTGGTTCATTTATCTCAGTGAAAGAGATTAAAAATAAAAATATATTCCATCATAATAAGAATGCTCAATCATATCATAGATGGAAAAAAATCAAATTATTGTGGGAGGTCTCTTTGTAAACTAGCAACCTTCTATTTTGAGCTGGCAACCCCATTGTCATAGCAAATGTGATTATCAATGAAGGATTTGTACTCAATTTGATTGTCACTGACCCTGAAATATTGAAATTAATATGTTAAAAGTCTGAAGCTAAATAACTCACACCTAAGTCACTTGATGAGTTATAATAGCAGGAAGTCAAATAAATTAGAGATGAATGTTTTCAAATTAACTAATATGAGTTAATATTCATTAGAGTAAATTAATTTAATTTCCTCTTAGTTGAATTTGAATAACAGCAAATTAATTAGTGTAATATACTATGCAGTGTTTGTTACTTCCTATCTCAAATCCACAGTACATATGGTACCCAATAGCAAATACAATTCCATAGAGGACATGTACTGATATAGTATAACTTGAATTTATTTTCCTGAAGGAAATATATTGACAATGTTACAAATAATTTAAGGCAGCCAGAGGTATGAGCAGATTCCTTTCATCTATGTTTAGCCATACACAGATAAATGAGAATATAGTATTTTGTAGATAGACCAACTTTTTCATTATTTTAATCTCTCAGAATATATGAACTAGATTGGGAGTGCTGGGTCTCATTTAGGATCCAACAGCTTTTATTTTTATTAAAAGTGAGTTCTAAAATGCCCTATTTTTAAATTCCTAAAATTAAATTACATATTGAATGTATTTATTTCTTCCTGATTCATCATCAGCTTTTATTAGTGTTTTATTAGGATCCAACAGCTTTTATTTTTATTAAAAGTGAGTTCTAAAATGCCCTATTTTTAAATTCCTAAAAGTAAATACATATTGAATGTATTTATTTCTTCCTGCTTCATCATCAACTTTTATTAGTGTCTAACATTCAGATTGGTAACTTGAATAATGGGAAGAAAAGATATTTACACAATATTTTTACCATCAGAATAAGGAAAAGGTAGATGTTTATTCAGGAAATATACAATCCTATCTAGAATTCAATAAGCAGAATGATTTACCTGAGTCATTTCAGATTCATGAATTGTTTCCTTCCTTTTGTTAGCGTATTTCCATTTTCATTTTTAATGCCTGTAATGCTTTTGTATTATTTTAAGATAAGTTGAATGCCCTGTTATACATCTTAAGTTTTACATCAAATGGCAATTTAGTTTGCTGAAGTTGTCTCACAGACATAACATTCTTTCAACCTAACTCACAACTGGATTGTGCTTATTGTGAATAAAAGTACCCAACAAATCATGTTCATAGCTAAATCTGGGGCAGCACTTTCAACTGAGTAGAGGGAGAAGATGCCAGAGTTCCTTGCTGACTTATATGAAAGGACACCATGCAGAAATGGTGAGATAAAGGGAACATTGATCAACTTGTTGAGGATGGCCCTGTCTTGTCAGTGGAAAAAAGAGGCATTGAAAGGGATGAGTAATGACAGAAGCTTTTTTCCTAGTAGGATGCATATGGAGTGATAGTGGGATATAATCGTGAGCAATAATATCGGAGGATAATGAATGTGCCACAGTTGAAACTATAAGAAAAATCCCCTTTTAGTTTTAGAAAATCACTGGACCAACGATCAGCTAGTGAGGAAAGGGTCTCATGGTTTTGTGTTGTTTTCCATTAGTCAACTGGCATGCATTTATGCTGTCAGCAAAATTATTTATATTATTATTTATAGAGAGAATTACTTTGTCCTTAGCACTGGACTACATTCTAAAGAAGTTATGAAGAATAATGTAATGCTGTTTTGATACTCAAGGAGCTTAACTATCTAGTTGTGCACAGATAATGTGTCTGCATAGTTTGCTGAGAATGATGGTTTCCAGTTTCATCCATGTCCCCACAAAGGACATGAACTCATCATTTTTTATGGCTGCATAGTATTCCATGGTGTATATGTGCCACATTTTCTTAATCCAGCCTATCGTTGTTGGACATATGTAACAAACCTGCACGTTGTGCACATGTACCCTAAAACTTAAAGTATAATAATAATAAATTTTAAAAAAATATGTCTGCATAAAACCAGTGAACATACTTACAATAACATACTGCTGGCAGTAAGCTCAGCTGTGTAGCAGATAGTGAATAGGATAATATAGTTCTATTAATATGTTCTAGAAGACAGGTTAACATACTAAATGAAATGGAAGTCAATTGGGCTGTTTCTGAGGAAAAAAGTGAAGAAGGTAGAGGCTGAACTTTTAGGAATCAGAACACACTTGGAAGGACACTCCAGGTTAAGTGATGAGCATAAGAAAAACTCAGGAAGTGGAAACGGATGTTTCTGTGTGAGGTGGAGGAAGGGAGACAGGCAGGAAAGGGAAGCCTGCCTTGACCAGAGGTGAAGGGAGGTGTCAGAGAGTCATTAAAATTAAAGTTAGGGGCACCCAATTTGAAAAAGCTACAAAAACTTCATAGAAATACTGAGTCCATTTTCATTTCATGTTCATTGTTTAATCTTGAAATATTTTCTTAGGCAAACATATACTATTATTTGTAAAGCAAGATTAAGCAAGAAGTGTGTATTTGAGGGGAGTGTGGGAGAGGAAGGGAGAAGTGGGAAGGAAGACTAGCCAGCAGTATCTACTTACACAAGCACCCACTAAAACTTTGTTAAGGCTTTGTCCATTGTGACAATGTATGACAAAATTAAATTAGTTCAGGTATACAGATATTTCAACATTGTTATCAGTTTGGAGCTTGGCTTCTTACCAGAGCAGCTTCATTTTTAGTCATTTGATGGACTGCTGGACCCATGGAAGGTTGGCAGGGTTTCTGTGACTGTCTGCCTGGGGAGGAAAGAGTGGGAGCTGGGGGACTAAGTGTAAGTAAACTCTGCAAGTGTATCTATAGAATATAGAAAGTGGGCAGATCCAGAAATTCTTCAGAGAGATCATTAACATGATTTTGTGGGATTCTTTGAATGTTAAATGCCTCAACATTTGGGAGGCACTATAAATTGTATTTGAACATGGAACTTCTCTATATAACATCCTTCCTGGCTTCATAGGCTCACATTTGTAAAGTTTCAACACTTAACATTGTAGTGGTCTGTTAATCTCTTCCTGCTGCCTTAGCAAAATATCATAGACCAGGTGGCTCAAACAACAGACATTTATTTTCTCACAGTTCTGGAAGCTAAAAGTCTGAAACCAGGGCGCCAACATGGTTGGGTTCTGGCGAGGGCTTCTTCCTGGCTTCCACATAGCACGTTCATAGTTTGTCCTCCCATGACAAAGAGCGACCTAGCAAGGACACTCTTTGATATAGTTTGGATATTTGTCCTCACCCAAATCTCATGTTAAGTTGTAACCCCAATGCTGGAGGTGGGGCTGGGCAGGAAGTGTTTGAGTCATGAGGGTAGGTCCCTCATAGCCGGTGCTGTCTTTGTGATAGTGAGTTCTCCTGTGACCTGGTCATTGAAATGTGTGTGGTACCACCACCCCCCACTTGCTCCTCCTTTGACCATGTCACCATGACATCCCTTATGACCTCATCTAAAAACCTCCTAAAGACCCCATCTCTAATTACCATTACTTTGGGGATTAGGACTTCAACATATGAATTCTGGGGAGACACAAATATTCAGCCCATAAGTGGATATTTTTGGTTGCATCCTTGTCCCATCTATTCTTTGCTTTTTCCCTTACAAACATGATCCTATGATGGATATAGAGAAAGATTTGAATCAGAGACTACAGCAGTATATGTCATTTTATTCTTGGCACCTCCTTGTTAATCTTCTTCCTAGATATGCAGAAGGAAATCAAACTGATGAGTGTCCATTAAAAATTTCATTTTTCAAACTGGACAGTGGCTCACACCTGTAATCCCAACACTGTGGGAGGCTGAGGTGGAAAAATCACTTGAGCCCAGGCGTTTGAGACCAGCCTGGTCAACATAGTGATATCCTGTCTCTACAAAAAATAATTTTTCAAAAAAGTTAGCCAGATGTGGTGGTGCCTGCCTGTAGTCCCAGCTAGTTGGGAGGCTGATGTGGGAGGATCACTTGAACCTGGGAGGTTGAGGCTGCAGTGAGCTATGATCATGCCACTGCACTCCAGCCTGGGCAACAGAGCAAGACCCTGTCTCAATTTTTTTTTTTTAATTTACTTTTCAGAGAGATATCCTTACCACCCTATTTAAAACTGTTAACCAACACCCTCCCCACCCCGCTATAACTCCTGACTTCACTTTCTCTACTGTTTTTTCTTTTCTGAACAGTCATTATCATCTTCTAAGGTAGTACATAATGTATTCATTTTGTGTATTGTTTATTGTCTGTCTCCCATTAAGTATACGATCCACTAGGACTGAGATCTTTATTTTGTTCACTGATGTATCCAAAGTACCTAGAATAGTGCCTGGCCCATAGTAGGCATTTAATATATATTGTTGAGTGAATAAAAGAACAGCTACAAAGTTATCTATAGAAAAATATTACATTTATCCATTAAAAATTAATAATATTAAGGAAACACTATGTTACACAAGCTGGATTGAGATTTTAAACCTCATACTTAGCAATGATTTTTACTTTCCTGAGGAGATCACACAGTAGAGGTAATAAGTGACCAGTACATCTGTTTTGAAGATAGAGCTGAGCCGGGCATGGTGCCTCACACCTGTAATCCCAGCAGTTTGGGAGGCAGAGGTGGGTGAATCACCTGAGGTCAGGAGTTTGAGATCAGCCTGGCCAACATGGTGAAACCCCATCTCTACTAAAAATATAAAAATTAGCCAGGTGTAAGGATGGGTGCCTGTAATCCCAGCTACTGGGGAGGCTGAGGCAGGTAGAATTGCTTGAACCCGGGAGGTGGAAGTTGCAGTGAGCCAAGATCATGCCACTGCACACCTGCCTGGGGGAAAGAGTGAGATTCTGTCTAAAAAAAAAAAAATAAATAAATAAAGAAGAAGAAGAAAATGGAGCCAACAGGAGTTGCTAATGCAGCTGACGTGGTGCAAAAGAGGAAAGTCAAACGTAACTTCAAGATTTTTGGCTGAATACCCTGAAAGACAAAATTGCCATCAATGGAGATAGGAAGGATTACAGGGGAAGCCAGCTGATGGGTGGTGGTAATGGTGGTTGGGGAGGTGGTGGTTAAAGAGCTTAGTTCTGTTTGTGGTCACTTAATGTTGTGTGTTAGATATCCAAGTAGAGAAAGAGCAGTATATATGAATAACAAATCAAGGTTAGAAGTCTGAGCTTGAAACGTGAACTTATACTGACTCCACTAAAAAGACTCTTTTATTATGAAGAGTTTGATGTAAAGTAGACATGGTGAATGTAAGATATCACTAGAGAAAAAAATGGAAAATCACTCTATTTTTGAAATTTATCTGGTATATTTTCCTTTATATAGTATCTTCCAGCAGGCAAAACAAAAATAAAATATCTCTCTTTGTTTGTTTCACACTGTTGTATTTTTTATGTAGACATAATTTCCAATATTTATTCCTTGAGAAATCCTTCCCCTTGGAAATTCATGAATTAAGATGATCTGGAATTGGAAGAAATATTTCATTATAAGAAATAAAGTGAATAACTTTTGGGTATTTCATTAGTCTCTCTGTCATTATAATTACAGAATTTTTAAAGAAAAGGTTTATAGGAAAGGAGATGTGATAGTAACCACTTGCTATTATCTCTCCCTCCATCAGCTACTTATATTTCTTCTTGCGTATGGCCACACTAGACATAAAACACATTTTATCTTCCTAATCACATTATCGATTTATTATATTCCTTGCCTCATAGCCTTTTGTTTTGTTTTAATCTTTTATTTCAATAATTTTTGCGTACAGGCAGGTTTTGGTTACATGGGTAAGTTCTTTAGTGGTGATTTCTGAGATTTTAGTGCACCCATCACCTGAGCGCTGTACACTGCACCCAATATATCTTCTTTTTTCCCTCACCCATCTCCCAACATTTCCCACCCTGAGTACCCAATATCATCTTGTTTTGTTTTTGTTATCAATTTTGCTGTTTGCATCTTTTCAAAAAAACTGTACCGTATGCATCTTAAGATGGCAATTATTTTACAGTGATTGCATCCTACTGTAAAATAAATACATCAATCAATGAAGAATTTGGGACAGCTGTCACAAATACAAAAGCCTGTCCTTACATTTCATGTCTTATCTGGTCAGATTTTGGTTGACTGAATTTTTTTCTTTTTACAATTCAGAATTGTCTGGGTGGTCCTGACAGATGTTCAAGAACCCAGTAAACTCTTACATTAGCACAAAGTATAGAGTTAGTGACATCAAGATTCATATATAGATATGTGTGTACTATGTGTGTTTGTATAATACAATAGAGGCTCCAGCTTAATGGAAACATATGGTAAATGGATTTAATAAAAATTCTTTTTTGAATGCTGATTATCCAAACCATCTGCAATGTGGTCAGATCACACTTCCTTCATGTCTTGCCTGAGAGAACAAAATAACCAGAGATTTGGACTCAGTTCCTGAGTCTAAGGAAGACTGTCCAAAAGTCCATCAACCCATGGTACATATTTTTCTTCTGAAAGGTTGTTTCATCTCTACTCCATTCCTATCAGCCTATGAATGTGTGTCTCTCTTTTTCCTTTCTCTCTAGTTATAAGATATATGTATATAATATATACACCCACACATGTAATAAAGCTTCTCTCTTTATGACTCTAGCATATGTAAATATATAGACAAAGGAAGAGTAGTAACTTGAAAGGGGAAGTACATTCTGTTATGTTTTGGTGAAAACGCAGAACAAAATACAGAAGCCAAACAAGTTTTCAAAAAATCTCTACTTTTCTTCTTCTGCCTAGAGAAACAGATGTACATTGTATTTATACAGATGCAACTTTCTTAAAATTAGAATAATGCATACCTTAAAATGATTGTTTTAGGTTATTTATTAGCAGCATAGCAAACAAATATCAACTTAATTAATAATTAACATTTTTGACAGCTATTTTATAAAATTTATTTCTTAAAAGTGTTTTTGAAATCTTTTCATATACATTAACATATATTCATATTTTATAGGCTCTAAAGTATTATAAGATACATTATTGAAACACAATAAAAAATTAGTCCCTTCAATTTGATAAACTTTTTTACACAAATTGTCAATAAGTTATTCAATGAAATACAAGAA
The DNA here is from genome assembly GCF_000001405.40 of Homo sapiens. Lineage (NCBI taxonomy): Eukaryota > Metazoa > Chordata > Mammalia > Primates > Hominidae > Homo > Homo sapiens. The sequence goes on from NC_000004.12 coordinate 85,702,654, forward strand.
ACAAAAGTATAAATGTTGTCTTCTGTTTTGCATTCGTTCGCCCTGGGGTTTGTGAGTTTTGATGTCCTGTAATGAGGTTGTTTGCAGAATATATTACTAGATTGTCAAGATTTAAATGCATGTTTAATTTACAGCATCATTTGTACTCAGTTTTGAATATTTCACTTCAGCTTTCATTATTGCATAAACAGAAATTTTAACTTGTTATAAGTGACCCATGAAGGGGTCTGAGAAATACAAAATATACTCAAAACAGTGACAGGGAAGGCTCTTTGTGGCCAGCTGTGATGGACAGAGAAAGGCAAAGGTGGAGGTCAGAAGTGAGACCCCCACCGAGAAGCATGTGAAAGGAGAATTTACTTGTGGGAAAGAATAGAGAAGAGAAAAATGAATATAAAAGAAACTAAGGATCCTACCAAGATTATGACTAAAACAACTGGGTCATTGTTGATAAAAATGAGGCTATGAAAGAAGTAGATTTTATCCTTTAAGGCAGTGGAAATAGAATAATTAAAAGTTGCCTGGTCACCAAGACCATAGACTTGTAAGAAATTCATTCACGTGTTTTTTATTCATTTAGTCAGCTTCCCATTCTACAAATATTTTTAGTACGTGTCATGTGAAAGGCACTACTGTTTTCTCTGCATTGAGTGTGGTAGATGTTCAGGGTAGATGAGATGAGATGACAGATGGTCCTAGACACCCAGTAAGGATGAAGTACTGTTTTACGTTGACTTGGCTGGCAGCAGTGGGCAACCCTCTTCTATGTTCTGAATGTTTGTAGTTAGTGTCCCCTACTTCATTAACACATCAAAATACCCCCAAGATAATGAAATTAGAAGGTGGGAACTTGGGGGAGTTGATGACATCATGAGGGTAGTGCCCTCAAGAATGAGATTTGTGCCCTTATAAAAGAGGCCCCAGAGAGATCCTTGCCTCTTCTGCCATGTGAGGTTACAGCAAAAACACTGACATCTAGAAAGCTGACCCTGATTAGACACCAAATCTGCTGGCACCTTGATATTGAACTTCTCAACCTCCAGAACTGTGAGAAAGACATTTATCCTTTTTATAAGTCATTCAGTCTGTGGTAGGCTGTTATAGCAGCCCAAACAGACTAAGGCACTCTCCAACACCCCAGAGCATCAACAACACTACATTTTTAAAGTCAGGTTTATTGAGGTATAATTTACATAGAGTTATGTAATCACCACCACAATCAAACTATAGAACAGTTATGCTACCCCCAAAAAAATCCCCAATGCCCCTTTGCAGTCATCCGCTCCCCCACCCTCAGCCCCTGGCAATGACTGGTATATTTTCTGTCCCTGAAGTTTTATCTTTGCCAGAAAGTTATATTATGCAATCTATAGCATGTAACCTTTGAGCCTGTCATCTTTCATTGAACGTAATGCACCTGAAATTCTTGCGTGCTGTTGTGTGTTATCAGTAGCTCCTTACTTTTCACTGCAGAGTAGTATTCAATTCAATTGTATGCATATATACAGTTTTTTTTTGTCCAGTTAGTTGCTGAAAAATATTTAGGTTGTACCCCATTTGTCAGATTTATTAGTAGATCCACTATGTACATTTGCATACAGGTTTTTAATACTGCACTTTAATATATCTTCTTTCTATCATTGTAGCTTCCAGCCTTTTAGTCAAAGAAACCATTTCTTCCTCAACTTTTCTAAAAATGCTTATGAGAATGTGTTGAAGTCTTGGCATCAAACCCCTTATTTATGAGTTAAAATTTATTGACCACCATGAGAAAATTATCTTATAAGATAGTTTTGGAATGGAGGCCATCAAAAAATAAGAAAAAATATGGTAGTGATAGGAGAAGTTGGGCAGTATCTAAATGTAACTTTTGCCAAAGTACCTTCATGAAGTACTGAATGTATTTTCCATTTACTGGATATAAGACGATGTGCTGTGACCTGTGGAGGGATTAAAAACTATGATACTCAGTTCTTTGTCTTCATTTATTTAAAAATATTTTTAACAACTTAGTAATAAGTGGCATCATATGGCATATATTTCTCTTTGTTAATTACAAAGGAAACTCCGAGGACAGGTTCTACATTTCATTTTTGTTAACTTATATTTTGTTCTTTGTTTTTAAGTACTATGTCCTCAGTACCGTATCTGGCATATAGTAGGGCTTATTAAAGATTTTTGAATGTATAAGCAACCAGATAGAATTTTTTTAATGAAAAGTAAGAAAACATCATAAGGTACTTTGATTGACCAAGGGTCAATAAGTTTTAAAAGTTTGGAGTGGATAAATCTAAGTAGAATGGAATCACTTAGGAAAGTAGAAAAGATGAGAGTTTCCTTTAGATTTTGTTGCTTTTTATGATTGATATACCTATTCTTCACATTTAAACCATAGTTCAGTTAATGTGAGACCAAATCAAATGTAAGACATACCATCATTTTAGGTATTACTAAGAATAATAACACACTATAATTTGAATTATGATCTACCATTGTCTATAAGATGTATCCCAAATTAAAAAATATAAAATGAGAAAATGCAAATTATAAAATTAATGAAATATGAGATTTTTACCAAGTTTATATAGGATATATTTAAAAATTATTTATAAAGTATTAAAATTTACACATATGACAGATACTATATTTTAAATTTTAATTTTTTGACTCTAACAAGAAAATTTAACAAAATATACGAATATACATGTACAAATAAGACATATACATATTGAAGTTCAATAATTACTTGAATGAATATAATATGACTTGCATGCATGTAAATATTCACGTGGGAAGTGACTACACACTCACTGTGAGCAACAACCATGTAATCAGAACACCTGTAGAGATAGCAACATTTTAGAACCTTTTGATTGAATTCCATTATGTAGATAGGGAAGGTTATAGTCCAGCATTTTTAGAAATGACCATTTTTTCGTGTGCTTACCACATGCAGGCATCGTGTTCAGCTATCAACGGTCATATGAGTTAATTGCTAGTGTTATCTGTATTTTATAGATGAAGAGAATGAGGCAGAGAGAAGGTCAGGAACTTGCTCAAAGTTGTACCTAACAAGGAGTAAAGTTTATATGTGAAAAAAGACAGTTTGACTCTAGAATTCATGTTTTTATTCTCTCTTCTATGGCTTCTCATGTTGGATACTGTTTTAGAGCACCAGGCTGTAACAGTTATAGTGACAAATAAGCATAGATTTAGGAGGAATATCTGAGTCATGAGGGGTCTGGAGGTTAATTTTCTTAACAGATGAATAAAATATCAAGAGGGGAAAGGAAGACAATGGGGGCATGGTAGGTGTCTTTAAAGATGTCAAGAACCATAGGATATTCTCAGCCAATGGTTGCAGGGGAGAGGGCACAGATATTCTCAAGAGCCAGATTTCAGCTGGGTATGAAGTAGAACTTAAAAAAGATCGGAGGTGACCACTATGAAGTGATCTTCCTCAAGCTGGATGAAGACAGAATTCAGGCATTGGTAGGGGGATGAACTGAGTAACTTTAAACTACTTTATGTGATGTGTAGATGTAAAATTGTTAGAGAAATTCTTTTTTTTGATGGACCTCCAATCTGTTAAATGTTACATCCATTGAATCACTGGATATACCATATTGTAAAGCAATTTAATAAAAATACATTTTGCTTATTAAATAAAAATGATTAATGTACTGTGGAAACTACTAGCTAAGAACTGATAATGTAAAATTTCATCTTGCTTACTAAAACTCATCTGTCATAATAAGAAATTTTAATATAGAGTCCACTTTTATATCAACATTTTTCTATAACTAACCATCATTAATATACTTTAAAAATCTAGTGAAACAGATTTCCACTAGACACAAAACACATTTCCCTGAAACACGTGCTTTTCAAAAAGATGTTGTTTTTGTTTTTTTTTTTCTTTTTTCTTTTGAGATGGAATCTCACTCTGTCACCCAGGCTGGAGTGCAGTGGCGTGATCTCAGCTCACTACAAGTTCCACCTCCTGGATTCAAGTGATTCTCCTGCCTCAGCCTCCTGAGTAGCTGGGGTTACAGGCAGGCACCACCATGCCCGGCTAATTTTTGTATTTTTAGTAGAGACGGGGTTTCACCATGTTGGTCAGGCTGGTCTCAAACTCCTGACCTCGTGATCCGCCCGCCTCGGCCTCCCAAAGTGCTGGGATTATAGGCGTGAGCCACTGCACCCAGCCAAAAAGATGTATTTTTGAGATATATTAAATGAACGCCTTATTTTGTTTATAGTGGATTTGTTGTTGTTTTGTGACAGGGTCTTGCTCTGTCACCCAGCTAAAGTGCAGTCGTGCTATCATAGCTCACTGTAGCCTTGAACTCCTGGGCTAACGTTATCCTCCTGCCTCAGCCTCCTGAGTAACTAGAGCTATAGGAGCATGTTACCAAGCCTGGCTAATTTTTAAAAATTTTTTGTGGAGGCACAGTCTTGCTATATTGCCCTTGCTGTTACCTCCTGGTGCCAAAAAATCCTCTCACCTTGTCCTCCCAAACTGATTGATAGGATTACAGTCATCAGCCACCATACCCAGCCTTTATAGTACTTTAAATTCAGATTTCTTTGCTAATATCACTACTATACACCCATGCAAGGATATATTTTTACCAGATGTTGTGGGTAAAGAGAATGCTGAAATATGGATGACCTGTTTGTGCTTTTTTTTCCCTCACCAGAGAAATGTTTGAATGCGTCCTTGTGCTTCTTGAATTAGTATTTTATTTTGACTGAGATAAGAACGTTATTTAACTTTTATTTTCACCGTGTCTAGCAAAATATTTCCAATAATATGCTCCATTGATTCTTTGGTGGTTATAATAATCATAAAATACAAGTTGATTTTAAATTCAGACTTTAGATCCTCAGAAACTTCTGGATAAACACATAGGTAATAACAAGCAGGGATCCCTTATAGATTTTTTATTTTTTGTTAGAAATAGAAATAGTTGAAAAGAGTTTCTGCTCTTTGGACACATGTGCAGGACCCAATATGTGCTATTTTCTTGAAAAAAGGAATGGACCGCTAATGAACATTATTAAAGTTGGACCATTTATTGTCCTAGGCAAAAATTAGGTCACTGATGTCTCCGGCACAAGAATGAAAGTTGATTACCTCAACCGGAAATGAAAAGGAGACCAGCATGACTATTGCACCCTGAGTTCTGAGTACTCACAACGCAGCTGGTTTGGGTCATAAATTACTTGTTAATTGTGTATTTCTTTTTTAGAAGAAAAAGGAAATGATAGGCTTCTTTTTTTCCGATCTCCACCTGCCTGTCATTGGTAGGTGGCATAATGATCTGAGAGAGCTGAGGAAATTGCTGTTCAGAACTTGGACTAGTTTTAGGTCAGAGGATTGCTGGTCTTCATTTCCTAATTTGCCAAAGAAAATCTCCCTGCAAAATGAACCTGAAAACTCACAGACATATCAAATACTTTCTTGTTCAGGCCTCGTTTATTCTTCAGCATATGTTACTGTGAGTAATATATGTATATTTGTGATCACTTTTCAATATGTATAGTAATATTAGACCATAAATATAAATAATAATAATAGATGTTTATGGAGTATGAAAACTCTGTTCTAGTAATTACCAAATTAGTTACCAAACAGGACTTAAAAGAAAAATGATGTTAACAAATAGCTGCTATTTACTAATCCCTGACCATGTATCAGCAGTATGCTATGCACTTCACATCTATAAACTTTATTTAAACCTCAAAACAGCCCTCTGTGTAAGACTCTTTTTTTTTAGGTCCATTTACTAATGAGAAAACAGAGGTACAGATATTTATAACAATTTCCCCAAAGTCATATATTTAGGACATGGAAGTTGGAATTTAAAATGAATTTGTCAGAATCTCAAGCCTATCCTCTTATCCACTTTACTGTCTTCCCCTACTAAAAATAACCCTGATGAATGCATATCTTACTCGTCTTCCTGCTCTATTCCATCACGGTGCAATTCAGTTGGAAAGGAGGCTGATGTCAAGAAGTCAGAGGGCGCACTCTGTTGGCATCCGCTTCCTGACAACCCCACCAAGGGGTTTTTCAGACCATATTTAAATTCTTCTGATAAAACAGAGCTCAAATCGCCTAAGAAAGCAATTTTACCTTCATATCTATTATCATTTGACAAAATAAATTCTCCTGGGAGAATAAAAGAACAAAATAAAATGATCTTTTCTATAGAGTCCTACAGTTTACAAATTCCACATGCCTTATTTAATTTTAATCTCCAAGTTATCTCTATGTTCGTTTAAGTATGCATTGTTAAAATTATCCCTATTTTATAGATACTGAAACTCTCCAAAAGATTAGGTGGCTTCATTTAATCAGCCATTCAGTAAACTTTTATCTGTGCCTTCTATATTCCCAGTACCCTTTAAACTATTAAGGATAGATAAATAAATAGAATGTAGGTCTATTCTTGAGGTCTTTAGAAAGCATGGCATTCTAGGGCTACAATCCCTGAGCACTACCCTTCTGCCTTTCTTAGTAGTTGTCAGAACTCAGTCACATGATCTCACCTAGATGCAAAGGTGCCTGGGAAGTAAAATTTTGCTGAGTGCCCAGGAGAGAAATGAAATGGTTATATAGATATAGTATCTGCTCTGCTTCACTTAAGATTTAATAATTAATTATTAATATCATAACAGGTTACAAGATAAAATATCATATGATTATCTCCACAGATAAAAATAGTAATAATAAAATGTAACACCCATTCCTGATATTAAAATGAAAACAAAACAATTCTTAGTAAATTAGGAATAGAGGGGAACCCCTTGAAATGTTAAAGAGCACAGTATCTTGTTAAAAAAAACCTCCAGCCATCATCATAACCAGTGATGACATATTAAAAGCATCCATTTTACTACTAGGACTAAGTTAAGAATATTTACTATCATCACTTCAATTTAGCATTTTATTAATGACCCCTTGTCAGCACACAAATAAATAAGGAAATCTCCTTCACCTGATATACAACTTCAGCAAAGTCTCAGGATACAAAATGTACAAAAATCACTAGCATTCCTATATACCAACAACTGTCAAGACACAAACCAAATCAGGAACACATGCCTATTCACAATTGCCACTAAAAGAATAAAGTACCTAGCCAGGGAAGTGAAAGATCTCTACAAGGAGAACTACAAACCACTGCTCAAAGAAATCAGAGTTGATACAAACAAATGGAAAAACATTCCATGCTCATGGATAGGAAGAACTAATATCATTAAAATGGCCATATTGCCCAAGTAAATTTATAGATTTAATGCTTTTTCTATCAAATTACCAATGACATTCTTCTCTGAACTAGAAAAAAACTATTTAAAAATTTATATGGAACTAAAAAAAGAGCCCAAATAGCCAAGGCAGTCCTAAGCAAAAAGAACAAAGCTGGAGGAGTCATGCTATCCAACTTCAAATTATACTACACAGCGAAAATAGCCTGGTACTGGTACAAAAACAGACACATAGACCAATGGAACAGAATAGAACCCAGAAATAAGGTCGCACACGTACAACCATCTGATTTTCAACAAAGCTGACAAAAGCAAGCAGTGGGGAAAGGACTCATTCAATAAATGATAGTGAGATAACTGGCTAGCCATATGCAGGAGATTGAAACTGGACCCCTTCCTCATAACATATACAAAAATCAACTCAAAATGGATAAAATGTAAAAACCCTGGAAGACAACCTAGGCAATATCATTCTGGACATAGGAATAGGCAAATATTTCGTGACAGAGACACCAAAAGCAAAAATTGACAAATGGGATCTAATTAAACTAAACAGCTTCTGCACAGCAAAAGAAACTATCAACAGAGTAAAGAGAAGACTTACAGAATGGGAGCAAAATTTGCATACTATGCCTCTGACAAAGGTCCAACATCTAGCATCTATAAAGAACTTCAAAAAATTTACAAGAAGAAAACAAGCCCCATTAAAAAGTGGACAAATGGCATGACCACTTTTCAAAAGAAGACACACATGCAGCCAAAAAGCATATGAAAATACAGGTCGACATCACTGATCATTAGAGAAATGCAAATCAAAATCACAATGGGACACCGTCTCATACCAGTCAGAATGGCTGTTATTAAAACGTCAAAAAATAACAGGTGCTGACGAGGTTGCTGAGAAAAAGGAATGCTTATACACTCTTGGTGGGACAGAACTACCATTTGACCCAGCAATCCCATTACTGTGTATGTACACAAAGGAAGATTAATCATTCTGTCATAAAGACAATACATGTGTAAGTTCATCGAAGCACTACTCACAATAGCAAAGACATGGAATCAACCTAAATACCCATGTAGATTAAATAAAGAAAATGTAGTACACATATACCATGGAATACTATGCAGCTATAAAAGAACAACAAGATCATGTCCTTTAGAGGGACATGGATGGAGCTGGAGATCATTATCCTTAGAAAACTAATGCAGGAGCAGAAAACCAAATACCAGATGTTCTCTCGTCAGCACCAGCTAAATGATGAGAACACATGAACACAGAGGGGAGCAACAGACACTGGGGCCTATTGGAGGATAAAGGGTGGAAGGAGGGAGAGGAGTGGGAAAAATAACTATTGGGTACTAGGCTTAGTACCTGGGTGACAAAAAAATCTATATAAAAAACCCCCATGACAAACCCGGACACGTACCCCTGAACTTAAAACTTAAAAAATCAACCTTATAGCGAAAGTATTAATGTTTTTGTGAAATATGTTGTTTTCTCTGCATATTACTTTTATTTTTAATTTTAATCTATGAATAGATAAAATATTATCTTAGTTTAAAAATGAAAACTATTAAAAGTTTACATCAAATTGATTTTTTAAAAATCAAATTCAGAATGTCAAAAGCAACTGTGTGATTAAGTCCCAAATTGCTTCTTCCTGCTGAGACATTGTTCTCCCTATGAAACTTTCTAAATTTAAGATTCAAATATGTGGAAAATTATTAACGTAGCTATAAAACAATTTTACTTGGTTGTTAAAAAATTAGCAAGGTCATTGTATTCAGCGTTATCAGGTTATTTTGGTACACCAGACTTAGAGATTATATAGCTTCTTCCAAGGTTAATTCTAGGTCCTTTCCACTTAATTTTTTAAACACACAGAGGGTTTATTAGTTAATTAAAATAAGATCTCAAATGAGGCTATTTTATCATCAATTTTCTGGTCCACAGATAATAGCTTATTGGGCCCTTCTCTTTAGAGTCCTAGAGTTTCGCATAGTAAATATTGCATAGCTATGACCATTTTTCGCTCTTCACATTTCTGTTTCATAATGAGACACAAACTTCAAAACCCTCCCTATTCTTTTTCTTTTTATCTTATTGCCATAGACTTTGCTTCAGACATGTGTCATTTACCAACCCCTGAACAGTTCACATTTCTTTTCCTAGTTGAGAAATAATAAAAGTTGTAAAATGACATTTAGTAATTGAACACGGTTTCTTGCCACAGATACTCTGCCTTGGGGTTCCAAGGACATTAACGTGACTGGTTTAACGGTTTCCTCCTGTTAAGAGAGAAGAGGGTGGGGTCAGAAAGGATTTTCTCTGGTTACCACCTCTCAGAATGCCTTGCACACCCTGGATTCTCCCCAAAAATGATTGACTAATTAACTGTTAGGACCATTTACCAGCATTTGAGTGTTTAGGGTGGACTCATTTTAAAACCCCAGCTGTTTACAGGCTCCTTTCTAGGTCATTGGAAGAGTTGTTGCCACCTTTTTTGTATTAGTTTCCCTTGGCTGTTGTAACAGATTGTCACAAATTTGGTGGATTAAAACAAAAGACATTTATTATCTCCTAGATAAGTCTGAAGTCATGGTGTGGAGGACTAGACTGTCTTCTGAGGGTTTGGGGGGATATCTGTCCCTTTTCATTTCCAGCTTCTGGTGACTGTCAGCAACCCTTGGCTTGTGGCTGTGTCACACCCATCTCTGCCTCCACGTTCATGTAGCCTCTCCTCTGTGTGAACCAAATCTCCCTGTCCCTCTTATAAGGACACTTTCTACTAGATTTAGGGTCTACCCAGATAATCCAGGAGAATCTCTCTGTCACGCTCTTTAATCACATCTGCAAAGGCCCTGTTTTCTAATAAAGTAATATTTCCAGGTTTCGGGGATTAAGACCTGACATCTTTCCGTGGCCATTATTCAGTAAGTGATACTATATTTACACATTTTCTAGGGCTGTCTTCCACAGTCCTTACTGCAAGGCAGAAAACTAAGTTTAAGGTTCCCAAATGCCCCTGTGCAACCCTGCCGTCTCCTGTCATTTTTGTTTGCTTTTAAAATGTATGTCTAGGCTGGGCGTGGTGGCTCACGCCTATAATCCCAGCACGTGAAGAGTCTGAGATGGGCAGATCGTTTGAGCATAGGAGTTTGAGACCAGCCTGGACATTATGGCAAAACCCCATCTCTACAAAAAATTTAAAAATTAGCCAGGCGTGGTGGCATGCACCTGGAGTCCCTGGAGTCCCAGCTACTCAGGAAGCTAAGATTTGAGGTGGCTTGAGCCTGGGAGGCTGAGGTTGCTGTGAGCTGTGATTTCACTACTGTACTCCAGCCTGGGTGAAAGAGTCAGACCCTATCTCAAAAAGATAAGTTCATTAATTAATAAAAACATATTTCTATGTTTTTCTTAGTGCACAAGTAATATGTACTCATTATTTTTTAAAAATATATTTTAAATAGAAAAATTTAGCAAAATAAAAATCATCTATAACCTGACTATCCAAAAATAACCTATATTAACAGTTTCATTTTTTTCTAAGCATGTTGGCATTTTCAACGTCCTACATCTATGTTTGATGGATAAATGAATAAGTGAAGGAGCCAATAAATCACAGGACGTCTGCCTTCACAGAAGATCTGGTTAAGGAAGTGGAGCTTGGACTCCTCAAGATCAATTGTGTCTCTGACTATCAGCTGCATGCTCCTCAAATTACTGGTGCTTTACCATTCCTTCTGTAAGATGACAATAGTTCTGGCACATAGTAAACCTCTGTAGATGTTACTTATTACAATTCAGGGTGGGAAAAGGCACTCCAAGTGGAGGAACTTGGAATGGAAATTGTTGGCAGGTGGTTTTGTGTCAACATTTGCATTAGTTTTCCTCTCAATTAAAATTTTTCAAAAATAACAAAGAGCACCTCAAGAAAGGTAGTGGGATGTTCCAGACAAATGTTGAATGCCTGTAATATTACAGAGTGGTTCATATAATACATGTATATTAAGAAAGCTAATTTCTAGGTCTCTTACAATTTTGAGAGTGTGATTGTAGACTTTTGGTTTTAGAATCAAGTCTTCCTTTCCCTCATTTCCAATGTGCCTCCTCTCACAATCGAGGAATGTCTCCATCCTCCAATGAATCAAAACATGTTGAAAAACAGAAGTGACCGTATGGTAGCTAGATTGGTGATGGCTATGCTCCCAAGAAGAATGCTCATGCAGGAAAACTCTATCTGAGAAGAAATTCATGTTCTCCTGTTCTGTCCAGTGTGGAAATTAACATGGGGTAAAGGATCCTCCGGTCTAAAAAGAAAGTGTTAAACGTTTTAAAATGAGTTATATCAGGGACACTCAAAATACTACATATCTTTTTCTCTATCAAAATTAATGCTCTCCTGTTAGTCTCCTAGGATCTGAATACCTGTAATATTAAATAATATAATGAAAACACTTTAAAATTAAATGAGCCCAGAATGATAATGCTTCTCAAGTGTAGATCTGCAGTTTACAATATAAAATAGCAAGATGAGACATCTGATTATTTGTTTCTATTTATTTGCTAATTATAAAATAGTCTCATACAATTATTTTTGTCATTTTAAATTTAAACAATGATTTGGAAATATTACATGTTTTCCTTGCTTTTGTGTTTTTATTAGCTGAGAATGTAGTACATTCTACAGTGTGTACGGCTTTATTGATAGTATGCTACAGTTTTCTATAAGGAAATTTATAACAATGCTTAGGTCAGTGTTCTCCCAAAAAATTATGCATCAGAATTACTAGGGTAGATTCCAAAATGGTTACCAATTTGCAAGTCTTCCCATCTCTTTTCTCCCCCTGGTAGTACCCCCAGGAATCTATGTAACTAATTTCAGAAGCTAAGAAGAACTTGATAACTATTTATAAAACTTCCCCAAACTGCTTTAATAGCAGCCATTGATTAGAAAGAGGAACATAAATTGGCTTAACAGCTAATGGTAAATCCTTAAAGCAGTTTGCATTTATTCCATTACTTTTTATTCACACAAATATGTATTAAGAATTTATCATGACAGAGTCTGCCTGGTGTTCCCTGAGCTTTAATTTTCTCATTTATAAAAAGAGAAATACCTATGTTACAGAGTAATTGGGTAAATTAATGACATAAATTACATGCAAAGTGTTTAGCAAAGTAATAGTCAAGAAATATCACTAATCATCCTTATCAACATCAAACGCTATGGTATTTATTATTAGATTGCTAATTAGAGGTTTACTTGTTTTACTAACTATTCTAGCCTTGCAAACACGATAGTAAAAACTGACTTCAAATTTTCTAGTTAGTTTATCTCTCTGTTTACTCACCTAGGTTATAATACTAGCAGATATATATTGAAACTTTACTACAATCATTTCATTATTTGGGGATTTGCAAAATATGGGCCCAAAATAGCTTAAAGGTCTGGTATATTAGATTTTTAAATATTAAAATAATAAATACTGTGTACCAGGCACTTTTGTACAAACTTCGCATGTATTAGCTAACAATGATGCCATGAAGTAGGATCTATTTTTATCCCATTTTACAGATGACGAACCTGAGGAAGGGGGAGAAATAGTTTGCTTGAAGTCATGTGACTAAAAGGTGTTAATGGGAACCTGAACCTAGGCAGTTTGACTCTAGAATAGATTTACTTAATCACAAAATTTACTGTTATCAGGAAATTATTATATAGCCAGAACACTTATGGTTACAATTTAATATTTTTCATAAGTGTACAGTATCCTGTTTCCTTTTCATAACAGGGCCTTAATATGTAATACCTGTTTTCAATTTTCTGCCTTCCCCGAGTAATTTTTGGATATAGGAATGCAAAGACTTTATTAGCCTTTCTCACCTTTATGTTCTCTGTGCCTAAGACAGGGCCTCAGACTTGCTACATGTTGTTTAATTAATATTTATTTAATAAATTCATGAAATTACTTGCTGTAAAGAAAAAAATTGAACCAACTTATATCGTTTTAATAAAACCTGTTGAATAATATTTATTTCATCTTGATCTCACTTTCGAACCTCTGTCTAATCTCATTAAAAATGGACATATATTGTCAAGCTGAGATTTTTCTAGTTCACTGTGATGCTCATAGTCATTGTTTATGCTGGAAAAAAATCTCAACATTGTGCTTATTAAACTAACAGAGCTATTACACATGCATGTTTTTTTTCCAATCCAAATTCCAAAGAATAAGATCCCTGTGCCTATTTTCAACAGCATCTACCCTTACCCCAATCTCTTGTGGTTTTGGCTCAGTGATCTGGTATTAACTAGATATGAGCTTTCTTTTTAATAGTAATTTTAGCTGACAGCAAACTACTAGTGTGGTTACAAATTGTGTCGCTTTTGCCAACTCTTAGCTGTCAAACTATAAAAGATTTTGTTTATCATATTTCATTTTGAAGTTTTAAAGATTCTTCATAAAAGGAATATTTCTTATCAGGAATAAAAATACGTATAATCCCATTTTGAATGTGCTGGTTAATTATTGTCATGAAATTATTGCCATATGTGCTGAACTCTTATCAAAAAGGTTCCATTTCCTTGTTGTACTTGAGCCTCTTCTCTCTGATCATCCAAAGTTTGCCATGAGGCATACTGAACATCAAGGGATAACATGCACTTACTTAGAAAACTCAAGACACTTGCACCCTGGTTCTTTTGTCACTCAGTATTCCAGCAAGTAATTGATAGCTTTGTCACAAAAGGGATAATTGAACAGTGTGTGATTAAAAAAAAAATTTACCAAGTGTTAGAAAGGTTAATGAAAACCAGTGGATAGGTAAAACACCCCTGGGTGAAAAACAGAGAGGAACCCCTGACCACTCTTAGCTCTACTGGAATTTGGGGAAGCCGGTGACTTTAAGATTTAGCCCAATACAAGTAGGACCATGTTGCAGCTAGCATGGAAGGAAACAGGTGAATAAATATCTTGACCTGTCTCTCTTGTGCTCTTCTGACATCCCGAAGTAGCCTCTCTAACCTAACCTGAAGCCAGAGATCAAGAGAGCTTGGTTTATGGAATTTATAGAGATTAATCTCTTAGAGTATGGAATAGAGTGAGGAGTGGAGAGAATATCTGGGGGAACAAACAGAGAATATCTATCGTATTTACTAAGAGAGAATTTTAAAATATCACATGGTTTTGGCTCAAGTGCATGGGGATGGGCCTTATGGAGCTTAAATCTTCCTAATTCCCATTTCTAACAGGGGAAATACTCTTCTAGATATAGAGAAAAATTGAAGTCATCTTTTACTCTTCCTTCTTTGTTTCCTGTTTAAGCTATGACTAGTTTCTGTACATGTTTCTTAACAATATATAATAATGCATCTGTAATGCAAATGTATACCATTTCTACTGCCAACACGTTTCTTGACCTTACCCTCTTATATCAAATTAATTGCTTTATGATAACAAACTTTTAAGAGTGTGGTATCATTAAATCTCCATCTGCTTTGCGCAAGAACCTACCCTGGCTCTCAGCTGCTACAGATACCAAGTGTAACATCCTCTGCCTAGGCTTAGAATTTCTACAACACATTCTCAGCACATGTAACCAACAATCTTCACTTCCTAATTATTCCTCCACATGGGTCTTTTGCTTATTGTAATGTACTCTGCACATATGGTTCTAATTTCTGCTTTGGTTGATGTTATTTCCTCCACTTTGAAAGATTAGCCCTTGGCCACTAAATCTTAAAACCCTACCTTCCTCTTAAAACCATTTCCTTTATATACTTTTCCTAACTAATCAGCCTGCCCTTATGACACTCTGTTCTTAAACTTTTATTATATTTACTTGATTTTCTAAATACTGTCACACTCATTTGTTTTAAAATTATGTACTGTGTTATTCTTGTACTGAGAGCAAAGAGTTTATTATTTATTTCTTTCACACACTTCACATCACCTGAGATATTTAAAGAAATAATATCTGACACATGGTAGTCTGTCAACATATTACTTTCGAGTTAGATTGGGCACCTGACTTGTACTTATTTATTAGTTCGTTGCTTCTTTGGTTAATTTAGAGCAGCTGTGGAAGAATTAACCAACTCACACAAACAAGCAGTGCATACTTTTTAATGACTAATTTATCTCTTAGGTATTTGCCCTAAAGGAATACATTAGGGAGAAGCTCAAAGACTTAGCTTCATGGATGTTCTTCATGTTCTTTACAACATAAAATGTTCCTTATAAGACAAAAATTATAAATGTATTACAGCAGTAGAGGATGTTAAAGTATGTATACTCAAGCAAGTACTATATAATTCAGCTTTTAAAAATGATGTAGATGACTACACTTGGCATAACAACAATACATGACTTTTAAGTTTTGAAGCAGATAATAAATATCTTTTTATTTTGATTACTGTTTTGTGAAAATTGCTCTGTATGTTTATACACACATGTATAAACACGTAAAAGTATGGGAGAATTTATATGGTGTTAACATTGGTTATCTGTAGTGGGTAAATTAGAGATTTTTGTTTGTTTACCTGCATTTTCAACACTATAAATATTGCTAAACACTTTGAAAATAACTATCACAATTAAGACATTTCCCTTAGTTATGGACTTTACAGAATTTCCATACAATGTGATCAAGTTAGCTATTTCAGTTAAAGGACTTTATTTTATTTACTGAATGACTTAGTAAATTAACCACAGTAAATGTTTGTCAATTACAGCATATCCTGCCCTAAGCCTTGTCTGTTGATATTTAAACTACTATTTTTATGTTACAATTTGTTTGAAAAACTTGTCAAAATATAAAATTTATATAATGTCAAATAAGAAAATGTTAATAAAAATTTCATCCAGAAGTAGCTGTTTCACATATACAAAAAGGACAACAAAGGATAGCATTACTTGGAGTTTTTAAATTACAAAATGTGATAGCTTAAGATTTCAAGGAGGTAGCATTTATGCTAGTGCGTTGCTTGAATTCAACTTATATGGCACATGTACAATTCAAGATCTTAAGTAGAACCTGAAGATATAGAACTAAACAGGAGTTATACATACACACACAAATACACATGTGGATAAAATGAATATTAGATGCTATGTTCTAAAACTGAGATAAATCACAAAATGAATTACTTCACAAAGTCATTTCAGTAAGTAGAATAAATTCTTAATTGAAACAATTATTTTTACCACATTATGTAGAAACCATATAGATTAAATGTATGTAATAAAAGGTCTTTATTACAATGAGTATCTTCAAAGTATCTAGCAATTTTTTAAAAATTACTTCAAA
The DNA here is from genome assembly GCF_000001405.40 of Homo sapiens. Classification (NCBI taxonomy): domain Eukaryota; kingdom Metazoa; phylum Chordata; class Mammalia; order Primates; family Hominidae; genus Homo; species Homo sapiens. The sequence goes on from NC_000004.12 coordinate 85,719,248, forward strand.
GGTAGGGAAACAAAATGGGAAACGGGATCTATAGGCCAGAGAAAACTAGATATGATAAAAAGCAGGAAAAGGTACTTCCTGGAGGAGGAGAACAAAGGCAATTCCTCCAACACCTCACCTTGTAAGGCATGGGGGGAGAGGAATACTTCTAACATACAATTTCTTGGGTTTTGGTTGGAGAGCGCTATGCTTTATCAGTCTAAGCCCAGAAGGAGGGAAATGGCTGAGGACTATAATTTTCTGTGCCAAACCAAGTAGGTTGAAAATTGAGTAAAATACTACTTTAGCTAAATATTACTATTTTTTGAGCTGGGAAAAATGGACAATATAATACAGTGGACAGGAGCATGGGCTTTTGAGTTCAGCACACTTAGTTTTTAACACTGGCTTCATTATGTTAACAGTTCCCATTCACTCAACAATACACATTTTTAGCCGTTAACTATATGCCAGGCAAAATGCTTGGCATTGGTAGTAAATTAGGGAGCAAAACACATATTATTTTTCCCTTACAGTTTAACGAGGGAGATGGACTTTAATCAATTCATCTTACAAATAACATAACTACATACAATGGTAAATCAGTCCAGGAAAAATTCAAGAATCTATGCAAGTATATTTTAGATGTAGACAATCTTAAAAATGGTATAAAATTGCCAGGGAAAGAATGTTGTCCTAAGGTAGATGGGAGCATGCTGCCATTTATAGAAGGGTAGTTGCTGGATGATAGAAAGCCATAGAAAGCAAAAAAGTGTAAGAGCAGAAACAAAAAAACCAAACATCGCATGTTCTCACTCATAGCTGGGAATTGAACAGTGAGAACACTTGGACACAGGAAGGGGGACATCACCCACCGGGGCCTGTTGTGGGGTGGGGGGATGGGGGAGGGATAGCATTAGGAGATATACCTAATGTAAATGACAAGTTAATGGGTGCAGCACACCAACATGGCACATGTATACATATGTAACAAACCTGCACGTTGTGCACATGTACCCTAGAACTTAAAGTATAATAATAATAATAATAATAAAAGAAAGATGTCAGAATATTCTGGAGAATTCAGTGAAGAGGCATTTGAAAAATTTCAGACAAGAGATAATAGTTGCCTGAAATTAGAGAGTGGTAGTAGTAGAGATACATAGTAGAGATAATGATTTCTATATTTCTGGCTTTTGCAACTGCATAGAAGAGGGTGACAGTCACTGAGCTGGGGAATACATAATGAGAGCCAGATTTACTTGCATTTTAATTTGACTAAGTTGAGTTTAAGACATCTTTGAGATAAGTGGAAATGTCAAATAAGCTTTTGAATGTATCTGAAGCTCAGAGTGTCCTAGATTAGAAATATTACTCCGATATTCATTGGCTTACAGTTGGTTATTGAAATCATAGGCCTGGATGAGATAGCCTGGAGAAAGAGAGTACTAGAGTCAGAAGAGAAGAAATTATTGGATAAATCTTTTTAAAAACTCTAATATTTAAAGGTCAATTAGAGTCAGCAAAAGACATTCAGACAACAGAGAAATTAGGGAAAAACCTAGAGAAAACAAAGAAACAAAGGAAAGAAGGTGCTTCAAGGAAAGAGTGGTCAATAGTGATGAACACTTCTAGAAAGTCAAGTCACTGAAAAGTGAACATTATCAAACACGCAGCTTGTGAGTCATGTAAGTGGAATGCTGGGTGCATCAACCAGGCTGCAGTGGGTACAGTGAAGAAATAGATTCAGTATAGACAGTAGGCAAACAAAAAAATAGAATAGCGGGAAGTCAAAGTACTTTTTTTAATGACACAGACTTTTAAGTATATCTCAGCACTGAATGAAATGATCCACTAAAGAGAGAAATTTAAAGATAGAGAAAGGATAGCTGGGCGTGGTGGCTCATGCCTGTAATCCCAGCATTTTGGGAAGCCGAGGCAGGTGGATCACCTAAGGTCAGGAGTTCGAGACTAGCCTGGCCAACATGGTGAAACCCCATCTCTACTGAAAATACAAAAATTGGCCGGGTGTGCTGGCAGATGCCTGTAATCCCAGCTACTCAGGAGGCTGAGGCAGTGGAATTCTTGAACCCGGAAGGCAGAGGTTGCAGCGAGCCAAGATCATGCCATTACAATCCCACCTGGGTGACAAGAGCAAAACTCCATCTCAAAAAACAAACAAAAAAAAAAAAGAAAAGGAAAAGAAAGAAAAGGAAAGAAAGAGAAGAGAGAAGAGATAATCAAGAGAAGGCTTATCACAACTATGTCTAAGTCTACCTTGTTTTCACAGCTATAAAATGGGGAAAAGAATATCTACCTCATAAGATTATACTACCAATTAAATAATATGGTGCGGGTAGAATGCTTAGTAAAATTTCTGGCACACAGAATGTGTTTAATAAATTGGTGCTTAAGATGAATCTAGCAGCTAACATACATATTAGTCTTATACATATTAGATGCTCAACAAGTATTCGTTAAATCTTGAGTGAACATGATTCTGGCACATAATTTTTGATTATTGGGAATATAAAAGATTCTGATGCATCTTACTGTATACTGGGTTATAGCTACACCTTGGATATTCACTGATTATAATGATGATATATGATGTTTGCTCTCTGATGATGTTGATGTTTTGGGTATTTGTTTTCACAGGGTACTATTTTTCTGCCTGGAAATAAAGTTTCTGAGCATCCCTGCAATGAAGAGAACCCAGGGAAGTTCCTTTTTGAAGTAGTTCCAGGTAAGATATTTTCCTAGTCTGATTAAATTATTGTCATCCTGTGTTGGTAAAGGTGAAGATGGGTCAGACAGGTTTCATTCTTTTTTGAATCATGACTGAGAACCTTAATTTGAGGCTTGGTTAGTGTTGACGCAGATAATGACTGCAGGTTTATATACTAGTACAAATGAATGCACTCACACACACATACTCTGACCACATAACTACTGGATTTTCATTTGTCCATGAGACTCCATAGTTGACCACAAGTCATGATACAGTATTTGTTCAGGACTATTGGAGATGAATTTGATTTTACAGCGCTCTTGTGATGTGAAATTTGACAAGGGGTTATAGGTTGAATGCTTTGCCCAGTGGAATCACTGACATATTTCCTCACAAAATTGTATCTTCAAGGAGGTTTTGCAAAAAACAAAAAAAAAAACAAAAAACAAACAAACAAAAAAAAACAACTCTTACTACTTAATACTTGTAATACTGACCAAGTATTACAGTTCTGTACCTCAGCTTTGCTCCCAACCAACCACTTCCACATGTTTTGCTGGTAGAGCTGAGGACAGCTCTGCCAAGACATCAAATCCCTCAGTTAAACTTTTGAAACATCCTTTCGTTTTTCCTAGTCATCTGTATTCATTCCTCTTAGTGAACCTGATCTCCACTAAAGTCTTTGACTAACCCAGCAACAATTCCTCCAAGGCCATGTTGTCTACCTCTTTGATCAATTCTTCAACTTTTCCTTATCCCTCAATGTAAGAAAAAGGGAGGTAGGAATCTGGCTCCGGTTGACCGTTTGTGTAATATTGATATTGATTTGATCACAGTCTAGGGTGGATGTGAATTTATTTGGGTAAGTAATGTGGAGTTCTTATCAATAATGCAGTCAATAAAATGTATTTTTCCTATATTTATATTAAATGCTGGGAATCTAAAATGGAAAAGCATATTTTCCCCTCGATGAAAACAGCTGTGGCACTAAGTTCATCTGGCTCATGATGGAATCCATGACTAAATGTGAATTAATGCAGCTGAAGTGCAGAAAGGTTAGTCAGATGCAATGTGTTATTTGTTTCCCTCCAGGGAGAACATATTTTAAGAAACCTGAATCTTATTTGCCTTATTAAAATCCTTTTATTCTTACTTCTTAGTGGAATACCCTGTATAGAACCAGATTCCAGATGTTACAAAGTCTTTGAAGTATCAGTAGAGGAAATGTCTTTTCCGATTTATTCTCAGACAATAGCGCATGTTGGCTTTTAAATCAGCGTGGTATTGAACTGATGGTTGACTCTTTATCTCCAATAATGCTAGAGGTCTACTTTTCCATTCAGTCTGCTAGCTGCAAGGAGGTTTCATCTTTTGGTGAAGAAGTTCTCAAGTAATATAGACGGATATTTTCAATACTGTTTTAGAGAGAGCCATGTCTTCAAGACCAGGAAGTAACAGATAAAACCTCTTCTCCAACATTGCTATTCTAAATCATCTGTTTCACATGCAGTGCGTATGACATAATGGCTTTTGATGAACAAAGCCTAAGAAGTTTAAGACTGTGTAATATGGAATATGAAGGTTGTCCTTTCAAACAAATTTATAGGAAATTCAAGCTTGCTTCTGTAATTATGGACTTAAATATAGTATGTGAGTAGATCATTTGAAAAGATGCTTCCTGAATTATTAATACAGTATGTAATAGCTGCTAAATTAGGTTTTATAATTCTAAATCATCTTACGGAGTGTGAAGAGAAGTGTTCCAAATGTATCTTTGAAGACAGAGCTGGAAAGACAAAGCACTACATTGAGAATCCAGTGTCTGTGTCATTCATCCTGGTCACTGGGGCTTTACTGGTGTGCCCTTGACATCAGGATGGCATTTCTAGGCAAATGCTTTTGTACTTCTGTGATAATGTGGGATCTGTATCAGGTTATTTTCATCAATATTTGCATTATTGGGGTTATTTAGGGATAACATAACAATTACTTTATCTTTGCAAATGGGAATGACAAGATAATATTTTTCAATTTTTTCAATGGTGTAATTGTTTAACATGATAATTTGGGATGTTACAACAGAGTGTTTTTATTTGTCAGAATGCATAGGAGGCAGCAAGGATTGCAGAAATGTGGTTGGTAATGTGTATAGAACCCTCGGCAGGCCGTGGGCCTACCTGGCAGCAGATCCTCATAAAGCATATTTATTCTAGATTGGCTTTCTCTATAAAATTCTTTCAATTGCCACTTCTGAAAATCTATCATAAAGATGATGCTTACAAACCCAACAAGTGTCTATCTTTACGGATAGCTAACTCAAGCCTAACTCTCCAGAGTTTATGAGTGAGTAGGAGAGGATTACATATTTTAATTTCATCTGCCCATAATGATTTCCAACAAAACTAACAAAAGCCTCTAGCAAGCTCTTTGCCATATATTTTAGCACTATATGCATACGTACACATTTGTGTGTGTGTTACGAATACAGTTTATCCATATGTGCACTGTATGTCCTTATAATTTTTCCATGTGTGTATATATATATATATATATATATATATATATATATATAGGAATTTTTATTTTGTTTTATTTTTGCTTTTGCTTTATGCTGAAATATCCCATGAAACCAAGGAAAATCATATTAAAAAAACAAGAATTTTCAATAAAATTGAGCGTCTCAGGTCTTTGTGTATTACTTATTTATATTTGTTTACAAATTATATTTGTATGCATATTTTAGGCTTTTGTAAAAACCTATCTGAAAATAAATCTACCATGTTTTAGGGTTGATTTCCTATAGATTCATTATCCTATGAAATGAATTATCTCTCTGAATAATGCCATGAGTTATAGATTTTTCGCTCCAAATTTTTCCTATTTCTCTACTTGTTATTCAAAGGGATATCAGCCAAATTGGCAAATTTGAAGTCTTCTCTTTCAGACATGCCAAATTTTAGACTGAAGTGAACTATTATGGCCAAAGTCCAAGCTTTTGGGAAATGTGGTTGAGAAAGAAAGATTGGCAAATCTTTAATGAACAGTTCTTGAAGAAAGAACATGCAGTTGGTTTCTGCTTCTCTAAATGTGTTCTAGTTGAATTTTCCTTGAAATGTTTTAAAAAAATAAAGAGTAGTTATTGGAATAATGATGCCTTAGCTTTCTTAGGAAAGAAGTTTCTCAGAGAAAAAAATAAAATGACAAAGAAACAGACAAGAAATAGGCAAAACAAGACAAAGGAGGACTATATGTATCTCCATATATTTAGAAACCACATCTTTCTTGCTTTTTACTGTATACCTAACACCTGGAAATAGCACAGTATAACATATGGTGCTAAACAAATATTTCTTGAAGTGCATATATTTACCAGGCTTATGGAAGAATCTCAGTCATATGAAACTGCCCCCACTCTGCTATGTTGAACTATTTCCTGTTGCATAGGACCTTTTCTCCCCTGTTCCCGCAAAGACCTCTTTGTCACTCTAGTGGCAAAAGTGAAGAGAAACTCCTTACATGTTTCCTTTCCTACTTTTCTGCCTTCCTTTCTGATGATGAGACCAAGAGACGGATGGAAGAAGGTAGAGATCTTCCTACACAGATGATACTGCTGGGGCATAGCCCCTTCACACTGACTGGTCGTTACAGACTTTCCTCTCTAAAGGCTGAATCTTTCACAGATGCATTTGTGGATTTTTCAGGGTCTCTGGAATTAGAAATCCACTTCACATGCTAGTATTCTCCCAGCATTGGGATAGTCCTGTTGGATGGGATACAGCGAAAGGCCTCAAAGGCCAGCTGCTTGCTTTGTGTTTATTCAGCAACTAGGAAACTCATGTACCCTGGCCTGCAACGTAAGGGAAATGCAGGCTGTTCCACTGTTGCTGCCTCCTTTGGCTTGTCACTTTCTCCAGGGGTTATCAGCTTCAGTGCCCAGCAAGGTCAGTGGCTTGCCAAGCTTCAGAGGCCATCATGAGTCCCTGACTTAGAGAAGGAGTGAGTCACTGTTCTAACACACATCAAAATTTACCAGCAATACTCTTGTTCTGATAGTTGGGAGAATTCCTAGTCCTCCCCCTCAAAAACCAGTGCTGATTTTGAAAACTGCTTCCTCCAAGTAGCACTTCCTCTTTTCTAGTTTCCCCCTCAAAACAGTCAGGGCCATTTGGGTTCTCAGAAGTGCAATGCTTTCTCTCAGTAAACCTGGCAGAGAAGTGGCTAGGTGCAATTTCCATCGGTCTTTTCAGCTTAGAATGTGGAGTTTTAGCCTCTTTTGGGGGGTGGGGGGTGGACCTTAGCTGCAGTTCCTGGATAATGGGGATAAAACGTTTTATTTACATCTATCTATAATCTTAGATTGGATTCCAGGAAACACGCTGATGGAGAATGACATTAGATTGTCATGGGAAAGGTTCTCCGAAGATATTTTTTCTGCAAGAAAGTGAGGAAAGCAGGATGCGACAGGAACACCTGCCCTGCAACGCTGTAGCAACTGAAGTCTTAGCTGATCCAGTGGGGTCCCCTGAGGCGGTGATCCCTCTCAAGTTTGCTTCAAACTGAGGGGCTGGGGCTTTGTTTCCTCTTGCTAACTAGTCATTGATTGGGAGCAGGAAGACAGATAAACTTGGGTGAAGCTGTTCCTGCTGCGTTGTAGAACAATTCCCATGAGAATCTCTTTGTGCCTTCAGCAACCAATATACCAGTCTTTGGGATCTAGAGAGAGTACTACAGTATCCGTTATAATGTCTGTAGCCTTATCAGTATCTAGACATCTGTATTCCAGGCAATGTTCCAGGCTGTTTGCACGTATCGCTTTATTTAATCCTTACTACAACTCTATGAGGCAAGCAATGTCATTATCTTTATTCTGCAAACGACAGATCTGAGGCACAGAGAAGTAATTTGATCCAGGTTAAAAAGCTAACACTGGGCCAGGCGCTGTGGCTCACGCCTGTAATCCCAAAATTTTGGGAGGCCGAGGTAGGGGTATCACCTGAGGTGATCCTGAGGTTGGGGCTTGGATCCAAGGTGGGGGGATCCTGAGGTTGGGACTTGGAGACCAGCCTGACCAACATGGAGAAACCCCGTTTCAATAGAATATTAAAACACAAAATTAGCTGGGCGTGTTGGTGGGCGCCTATAATCCCAGCTACTCAGGAGGCTGAGGCAGGAGAATCCCTTGAACCCAGGAGGCGGAGGTTGTGGTGAGCAGAGATCTCACCATTGCACTCCAGCCTGGGTGACAGAGTGAGACTCCATCTCAAAAAATAAAGTAAAAAAGGCCTGGAGCCTATTTTCTGAAATATGAGCATGTGAAGTTATTTTTTGAACTGGAATGGATACACTGGTATCTTTCCAGACTCATTCATTAAGAATGAGAATTTTGGCACTTGATAAGAGTAGGCATTTTTGTTTTTTAGCACCTATTTATAATACAATATATAATACAAATAGGCACTAGATAGAGATGCCCACTTACAGTTCTTTTGAAAGCATGTTCTAAGGCTACAACAATCCCATCATGAAAAAGTGGGGAGAAACAGACATTTTCCAGCAGTGATCTTCCTTATTATGAATAAAGGTAACAAAGGTGGATTCTACGGATGGAGTGCTTTCTTATAGACAACTGTCAACGCTCTGGGATCCAATTCTCTTTCATTACCGAGTATACATTGCTGAAATTGTTCTCAGCTTCTTCACAAACTCCCTTCACATACTGGCCAAGCTATCACTCACTGTCTAACCACCAACCAACACACCTGATATTAATCATATGCTGGGACTCAGTCCATCCACCAAGCAAAGATTCTTCATGGCTTTCAAGGGCAATTGTCAATATTCCAGACCCTAAAAGGCCCATCTGACCCAGTGCCTAAAATCAATATTAACTAAAAGTAGGAGGTGTTCTTTCCTCTTCCTTCCTCCAGGGAAAGAAAAGAAGAGGTGAACACAAAAGACAAGGGGATGAGGAATGAAAAGTAGCCATGGAAAAAAATAAGATAAATTTTGAAGGATAATCTAAAGTGATTTTTATCTGCCTGGAAACAAAATTAGGCCTTCAAAAAAAAAAAAGATGTTATTTATCCTACCTTTAGCCACAACTATACTAATTATTTCCAATACCCTCAGACAATTACATGTTACTTTTGTACATTTCAAATTTTAAAAAGTTTCCATTCTAATTATTTTTTCCAGAAGGATTTCTTAGGAGATAGGTGAAAAGTTAGAGGACATGGGTGCCTAAAGAATCTAATAAATGCATTGATCCTTTTGCCAAAAAAAAAAAAAAAAAAAAAGGCAAATACCTACCAAAATTGCACATACTTTTGAGGACTTCAGAGATTCCCTAAAATGCAATCATTGACTGTAGTTTAAGAATAATAGTTTATATTGGGAACCAAAGACTTTATTATCTCTCTCTCTCTCACCTCTCTCTCACTCTTTATCTCTATTTTAGCTAATCTGTCTATGTTCCTATGCATTTATCTATTTTATCTATGTACATGTGTGCATAAACTGTTATTTGTAATTATCTGTTATACCAATCAGTTTTAGACTTTTACCTCTCTGATTCAGTTGTTCTTTCTCCTGTTTCTATGATTGTGTAACTCCACAGACCTATTTTGCACATTTACAGAAGAACTTTTCCTGGATGGAACATTTCATGGGTCTGGAGGCTGTAAAATTTTTAATTTAGTAAAACTTCAACCTACTTAGATGGTTACTGCAGCTGTGTTACATAATAGGCCAGCTGAGAAATAAATAGTTATGAGATAGATTCATGGGTGTCTCTGGGAAAGAAAAAAGTTTGGCCAATTTTTGAGTTTTTGGGATAATAATGTAACAACAGCAATAAAAGTTTACCATACATGTCTGCATTTGTGACTCCTTCTGGGTTGAATAAATAACGTCATTGGCTACATTAACTTGCTGTCATTTGAAAATGTAAGCCAATATTTGACATATATTTTATATGAAAATGTAGGAATGTTTTAATTGTGTTTTAGCATCAAGTTTAGTCACTTTCTTGATCACCAGTTAAATATGCTGCTTAGGCATTTAATTTTACAACACTCCCTTATCTTAACTTTTTTTCTTTTTTGTGTTAATTCTGTAAGTTAAAATCCATGCAATTATATTTGTTACCCCAAAGCAGCTGTGACAATCTCTTTTTTTGTCTGCCTAAGTCTGTAGGCAGCCGTGAAGCTTGTATTTTTTTTTTGCTTAGATTTAATATGTGCAAATCATTTAGAGAATGTGAGTAGGAGTTGCTTACGGTATGAAAACATAATTCTATATACACAAGTAGCTCTACATGAACTAAATAAATGCATTGGTGAAAGCAGCATGTATTAACTACTATGTGTTCTTAAAGAAAGTGTTTGAGATTTTTGTTTCAAAATTCCCTTCCTACTTAAAATACATTAAAATATACACTTGAAAGAAGCTATTAACATGGTACAAAGAACGTTTTAAAAATGTTTTTAATCCTTTGGAATTCTGGCTAATGTCATTTCAACCAACATACATTTGGGGCATTTACGAACTGATGGACAGCATGATCATACGATCCTCCTGTGAAGTGTCCCTATGAGGAGTGAGTGTCCTCTCACAGTGTTGGTAGACATATTGATCCAGTCACCATCACTATTCGCTAGACCAGGGGCCAGCAAACCTTTTCTGGAAAGATCCAGGAGTAAATATTTTAGGATTTTGTGACCATAAGGTTTCCACTACAGTTGTTCAACTCTGCCATGGTAGCGAAAACAAATGGATGTGGCTGTATGTCAATAAAATTTACTTATGGTCACTGAAATGTGAATTTTATATACTTCTCAAATATCAGAAATATTATTCTTTATTTTTTTCCAACCACTTAAAAATGTAAAAAATAAACAGTGAACCAGATTTGGCCCGTGGGCATAGTTTGCTGACCCCTGGGCTAGATAAAAAAAGCAAACCTATGAAAAGGAAGATGAAATACTGATATAAATCACTAATCCCCACTGGTGCCACCAGAGCCAGAATTAGAACTCTGAGACAGCCTGTCTCCCCAGGCCATGGCATTATCCATTGCCTCAAAATCATGATTCAGGAACTATTTGCCAATATTTTTATTTAGAAGTTCCATCTCTGAATAATATCTATGCTTTAAATCACATTGAACTTTAAAAGTGTTAGTGACCAAACTGAAATCTCTTTTAAACACCATCTCAGTTCATTTGGAATTCTAGATTCTGACCAGAACTGAAATCTCTTATGTGACTTTATGAATACCATTAATAGGAGATGGGATGTGCCTAGCATGAAAAACATGTCCCATATTTTATTCAGTCCACACAAATTCAGGGAGTTATTTACAAATATTCTGAGATTGAAGCAACTCTGGCAAGATCAAATAAGCTTGAAGTGTCTTCTAAGCTTTCCTTTATATGATGTACATTAGCTGTTTTTTGTTTTGTTTTTTGAGACAGGGTCTCACTCTGTCACCCAGGCTGGAGCACAGTGGTGCAATCACGGCTCACTGCCGCCTCAACCTCTTGGGCTCAAGTGATCCTCCTGCCTCAGCCTCCCGAGTAGTAGCTGGAACCACAAGTTCACACCACCATGCTCAGCTAATTTTTTTGTTTTTGTAGAGATGAGGTCTCACTATGTTGCCCAGGCTGGTCTCAAATCCCTGAGTACAAGCAGTCCTCCTCCCTCAGCCTCCCAAAGTGCTGGGATTATAGGCGTGAGCCACCACACCCAGCTTGCATTAGTATCTTAAAGCTCTAAGTATCTCACAGAAAATAACAATACATTATTTGTAAGTAAAACAAACAAACAAGCTTATCTTCTTAGAGGGGTAGTTTGTTTCCCTTACCACCCATTTATTAACATCTCCCTGCCCCAAACCCACCAGTTTTCTTTTACCATCAGTATGAGAAATGTTCCCATAATATTAATATTTAATATTTACTGAAATATGTGTCAGGCCCTGTACTGATATATGTCAGGCATTATATACAATGACTCATTTAATATAACTGCACACACACACACACACACACACACACACACACACACACACAGAGAGAGAGACTGGGCATGTGTGTGTGTGTATATATACATATATGTATATGTGTATGTATGCAAAACGGTGGTACAAATTCACATTTTTAATAAGTGGTAAAGCCAGGATTCACACCCATCTGCGCCCACAAAACCACCTTCTTATACCAATAAGAATATGGATAGGTTTATTATCTACACTACACTGAGGCCAAATATCTGAGACTTAAGAGAAACAAGGATGACAAGAAGAAATGGGGTTATAGGTTTAAGAGTCAGTATACTCTGCATTTCATTCCTTTCTCCTCCATACTCACAGTCCTTGCATTGTCTGTGTTCTCTTCCTTCCCTATTAGATTGGAAGCTCTTGAGAAGAGACACCTTCTATCCCTACTGCCTAGCAGAGTGCTGTCATGTAGTGTATGCTTAATGCATGTTTGTTGAATTAATGAATAAACAAGACTGCAGTTTTATCATCTATGGATTGATCACATTGGATTAGTCAAAGTTAGAGTTGTCTAGGTCTGAGTTATTTAACTTGATTATTGACCTTTTTCCCAGTGCCTCCTGAGACTGGATCCTAGAGAAGTTCATTAACTTCTCAGACTCTACACGATTTTAAAAGTAGACAACATTATAGCTAGATAGGAGGAAAAAGTTCTAGTGTTCTATACTACTGTAGGGTGACTATAGTTTGCGTTAATATATTATCATGTCAAATAGCTAGATGGAGGATATTGAATGTTCCAAACACAAAGAAATGATAAATATTTGAGATGGTGGATATGCAAATTATCCTGATTACTCACTATACATTATATATATTTCACAACATCACTAAGTACCCCATAAATATGTACAATTATTATGTGTCAATGTTTTTTAATAAAAGAAAGTAGTACTCTCCTCATTCTTGAGTCCTTCATTAATACACCAATAGTGTCTTTTATTACTTTGAAAACAGAAGCTATTTACAAAGAAGTTATTTGCTGAAATAAATGTGATCTTTCCCATTGTTCTTTGTGATATGGTTTTAATTATGCATTCTCAGGCCATTTGTGTTCACCTGCTTCTTTTATCCAATAATTGAAAAGGGCTTTCAATCTAATCAAGCTATGAAAATAGCAAAGTACTAAACAAATGTCAGCTGCTGTTATTACAAATAGAGTTTGTCCAGGCAGGTCTTTGTCTATGGTAGGGCTTCTTTGAGCCACAGAAAGAGTGTGTTTGGGTGACTTGATGGCCAGTGGAGAGAAAAACCAATAGGTTAGAAACGATGTCAGAATGAGAAAGGGGAATCATACTTCAAAGGAAAAGAAACAGATGAGGAAAAGGAAAATGAGTGTGCAGCAGAACAGCTGCTGATAATTAAGAGTGAGAGATAAGCTTGTAGCCAGGAGAGCACTGGCATATCACTGAGACCTGTGCCAACTCTCAGGGAACCAAGGAAGGCTTTTTCTTTTCTTTTTTAATAGAAAACTGAGATGAAGTGGTCCTGAATGTTTCAAAAGATAAAACCCTAAGGACCATCTGCAGCCCAATAATGCATCCCTAGGACTGTCAGGCTTCCTGGCTTTAAAATGGACCTTATCTTTATTTGCCTATTCATTTGTGGGTTCATTTAGCCCATGCTAATCAAATATTTATATTTCAAACATAGGATTAATAAACAAAAATTCAAACTTCTTTTTTTTTTTTTTTTGAGACAGAGTTTCGCTCTTGTTGCCCAGGCTGGAGTGCAATGGTGTGATCTCAGCTCACTGCAACCTCCACCTCCCGGGTTCAAGCGATTCTCCTACCTCAGCCTCCTGAGTAGCTGGGATTACAGGCATGTGCCACCAAGCCTGGCTAATTTTGTATTTTTTTTTTTTTAGTATTTATTTTTCTCCATGTTGATCAGGTTGGTCTCGAACTCCCAACCTCAGATGATGCACCTGCCTCGGCCTCCCAAAGTGCTGGAATTACAGGCGTGAGCCACCGCGCCCGACCTCAAACTTCTATATTACATTCAAATTGCATCAACCAGCTATAGATCTTATAGGCCTCACCAACTTTTTTTTTTTTTTTTTTTTTGAGATGGAGTTTCGCTCTGTCACCCAGGCTGGAATGCAGTGGCACGATCTCAGCTCATTGCAAGCTCTGCCTCCCGGGTTCACACCTTTCTCCTGCCTCAGCTTCCCGAGTAGCTGGGACTACAGGCGCCCACCACCACACTTGGCTAATTTTTTGTATTTTTAGCAGAGACAGGGTTTCACTGTGTTAGTCAGGATGGTCTCGATCTCCTGACCTCATGATCCACCTGCCTCGGCCTCCCAAAGTGCTGGGATTACAGGCGTGAGCCACCACGCTGGGCCCAGGCCTCACCAACTTGGTAGGACAGTCCCTAAACTGTTATTATGAAGGGGCACTGGTTTAAGGACTCTCTGGTCCCATATAGAAAGTTTTTCTATGAACTTGTGCTTGATTAGCACTGTTTTTAAAATAACATTTTCTGTGCCTTTCACAAGAAAGGGGAGTGAGTAGAAAGAATCTTTAGTGTATTTTTTGGCTTTCTAGGGCTTCCATAACAAGTACTACAAACTGGGTGACATAAGCAACAGAAATGTATTTTCTCAGGATTCTGGAGGCTAGAAGTTCAAGATCAAGGTGTCAGCTGGGTTGGTTTCTTCTGAGGGCTCTCTCCTTGGTTCATCTCCTTCTCCCTGTGTCTTCACAGGGTCTTCCCTCAGTGCCCTTCTGTGTCCTAATTTCTTCTTCTTATAAGGACATCAGTTGCATAGGATTAGGGCCACCCTCATCACCTCATTTTAAATTAATTACCTCTTTAAAGACCCTGTCTCCAAATGGGGTCACATTCTGAGGTATTGGGGGTTTGAAGTTCCTTGTATGTATTTTGGGGAAACACAAGTAAGCCCATATCAGAATTAAAAAGGAAATGAGACTTAACTGTTCTTCTAAAGGCTTCTCTATTTTAGGGGACAAACTTTCCCTCATGTTTCTGACTGACTGTTTGAGCTCCACCCTACTCCTCAAAGAAAGAAGCAGAAATCCAGACCTTGCTATATGTTCACCACACTATAATCCAGAACTCTACTTATTCCTGCCACAAATATTAAAAAAGCTGAGAGATTTAGCAACCAAAGCATTAACTAAAAACACAGGAAATAAAAATGAGGGCTGCCCAGGGGAAGAACAAATATTGTATATCTAGCTATTTTTCCTGAAAATTGACCTTGGATTTAAAACTCTCTTCAATTTTACTCTTAGTGTTTTGTTTTGTTTTGTTTTTATCACTTTGCCCAAAGGAAATACATTGGACATCTAGCCTTAGTGCTGTTGTTATTGTCTTTATTTGTGTATTTTTTTCTTTTTAAGTGAAGGTTAATTTTATTTGAGGACAAACTTCTCTCTAAAAGTGGTACACCAATGCTTTAAATACAACTGTTATGCATCTAGACAGAGGCAGAAAGCCAAAGGGAGCACTTGATACATCTTATCCAGTTGCCCAAGCTTTCTGTAGTGAATTACCAACTTGTCATTTAGGATATACAGGAGCAAGGGGTGTCAAGGCAGGCAATTAAGGCTTCTGGAAAACAATTAGTGCAGGGGCATGACATAATTCAGGGAATTTTTTTTTTTTTTTTTTTTTTTAGCAGCAATCACATTGTCCTTCTCATGACTCATTATTTCTGATGTGTCACTTGCTTATCGGAATCACAGTGGAGATAATGACAAAACTGTGCTTGGAGGCTATTTGGCTCTGATCTCTGGGCTGTGATTTGTCATAATGGGTTCTTTGATTGAAAGACAAGTAACTCATTCCACTTTGGCTATAACTGATGCAAATCAGTTATTATTTAAGTAGTTGGTTTATTTTGCATTTTATTTTCGATCATCCTGTCTCCCACACATAGCCTTACTGCCAACTTAATTTAATGGATATTCCCCTAATTTCCTAATACCAAGTATACAAAATTACTTATATCTGTTACTACAGAGAAACTGCCCCTTTTCCTTCCTAAATCCAGTTCTTCATCTGTCTTTGAATTCCTTCCACTCCCACCTTTTCAGGAACCGTAATCTATTGATTGTACTGTTTTTATCTTGTTATGTAATTTTGGCTCCTGTGTGTATTCTCATAGGATTACAGGTGTGAGTACATTAATGTTTTCATTTAAAAAGCAAATGAATCTCATGCATACTAAAGTTTTAAAAATATGAACATACGATCATGCTATTAGTTCTCTGAGTTTATAAAAAAAATAATAATCTCTTAACCACACTTCTCCCATCATCCAGCACCTCACGTGTTTTGCTTCTTTTTGCAACAAAACTATACCACACTCATTCCAAGTTCTAGCTTTGTTCAAATCAACTTTTGTCCACTCATTCCACCAGATTTTTTTTTTACTAATGACATTGATGACAGCTGATTTTTCTTTATCCATTGATTACATTTTAATCCTCATAATAATTGCCCAATCAGAATCATTTGACCCAGTTGATTACTCCTTTTTTCTGGGTACACATTCTTCATTTGGCTTTTAGGACACTAACTTTCTTAGTTTTCATCCTACTCTATTGTCCCTGTCTCTTAGTCACCATTACTTGTTAGTCTTCTTCTCCCTTACCTCGTCATGTCAGAGGGCCCTTGGACTCAGTCTTGGTCCTCTTTGTCCTGGAGCACTGCAATATTCTACTAGCTTGTCTTCAGACTCTAGTCTTCCCTCACTCTCTTCTCTTCCATACACTGTAGCCAGAGTGATATTTTTAATAGACTTAATTTTTAGAGCAGTTTTAGGTTTATAAAACATTACATTAAAAAGTACATAGAGCTCCCATATACAGTGATATTTTTTATATTCAAGTATGATCAAGTCACCTCCTATTTTTTTAAAAAAATCTATCACCGTCTACAGGACTATAGCCTATAACTACCCCCGATGTATTTTATTTTTCTCTCTTGCTCTGTGTACTCTACCACATTGACTTTCTTTGAGTTTCTCAAATGTGCAATGCATCACACTAACCATAGGCCCTTTATATATGCTGTTCCCTCTTTTTAGAATGGCTCCTCCCATCATTCCAAGATTCATAAGATAACTACTATTCATCTCTCAAATGGTATGTCAATTGCTGCTTCTTTAGAAAAGAAACTCAATCCTCCCTCACAGGATGTCTTAAACCACTTTGAAGGCCCATGATCTGTACTTCTTGCCATTTTTCTTATAGAAATAATGTCTGTCTCTCACTCAAGAATGTAAGTTCCATGAGAGCTAGAACTTTGTTTTGCTCATCATCTTATTTCCAGTGTGCAGCAAATTGCCTGACATGTCATAACCATTTATAAATATTTGTTGAACAAAAGAAAGAAAGAAAGAAGGAAGGAAGGAAGGCACAGGAAGGTAGTGTAATGTAGAAATGGGTAGCTTCTGGGGTTACTAATCAGAAACCCTGAGTGCTACAGTAATTCTGTGATTCAATTCGAATCCAAAGTTTGGTTAAGTTAATCAAACATTTAGTAAGAATCAGCAATGAGCAAGATATTATGTGCCAAATTCTTATCCTCAAGAAACTATTGTTTATCATCCAATAAACATCAAGTAGAGGTGGAATTCTGCTGAACACTCAAGGAACACCGATCAAGTCCATTATTGAAGCAATCGAGTACTTACAAAACTAGTAAGTAGGTAGAGGAGAAGAGATTTTTGTTTCTGCTGTATCTCTTAGGCAATTTCTCTAATTCTTGTGGCATCCACTTCCTCAACAGTTAAGTGAATGTTACACTGTGGAGCTAACAGATGAGACAATGTATGTGAATGTCTGTAAACTAGTGTCACCCAAATGAGGATGGTGATCTGTGTAAATTAGTATAAACTATCCCACTAGTCTACCATCATATGTGCCTAACTTGTCCTAAACTCAGCTTTCTTTAATGAAACCTCATTATTTCTAATGTGTTCAAATTCAATGATAAGTTTTAGTAACATCTTCTCTGTCATCTTTCCCCTAGTTGATGTGTGAAAATCAATTGATGTGAAGGTACTCAATGGAAAAAGAATGAGATGATCATTCTTTCACCAGCACACAGCTGGTGAAAAAATAATGGTTTTGTTTGTTTGTTTGTTTGTTTGTTTTTTGCATGATGGTATAACCTTCCTTCTCTAAATGCTGGAAGTCCAGACCTGAGTCATAAGTGACCCCTCTCCCCAGTGCCTATGAACTGGTGCCCAAATGTAAAATTCACCCATTCTGTTCAGCCCTTTGTTAACCTGTAGACTCTAGTGGATTTGATTTCTGCTTCCTTTGAGATGAATATCTCCTGTACTTCCTGGAAGCCAGCAGTGCCATTTCATTAGCAGTCTGAAACACAAAGCCTCAAAGCCATCACTATACTACTGTTGGGATGACTCTTAATGGAACTAATTGTTCATAGGAAACTCTAGGCAGCAAACTGGTTGTGGGCTCAGTCTAATGGTCACTGACTTAATTACACAGAAGGAGCCAAGCACAATGGCTCAGTATGTTAATCGTGGCTGAAAATATGATCTCCATGCAAAGTGCAATATTGCCATGTTCTTGCTGCTCAAAATAATTGGGAGCAGCAAGGAGATGATAATATTGCACTTTTTCAACTATTTGAACCCTGGAGCTGTTACATGTACTCACTTTCATGACATTTGCAAATTCACTCTTTCTTTCAGGTCACTTATTTGAAAATATGAAAAGGCATAGATTCCTAACACCAACCAACAATGTTAATAAATTGTATGGAAAGGGTTGATATAAAGGCTCTACAGTGAAAGGAAGGAAGCTGGCTCATACTTAGCAACATTCTACTTAGCTGTCTTTCCACTCTTCCATATTCTCTTTGATTATATTAGTATTAAATTTTCTTGATTTTGTCAGTATAAGTAGGAATACCACTGCCATTCCTAGTGTGCTTGGTTTATGTAGGCTGGAATGCAGTGGTATGATCTCGGCTCACTGCAACCTCCACCTCCCAGGTTCAAGTGATTTTCATGCCTCGGCCTCCCAAGTAGCTGAGATTAAAGGCGCCCACCACCATGCCCAGCTAATTTTTGTATTTTTAGTAGAGACAGAGTTTCACCATGTTGGCCAGGCTCGTCTCGAACTCCTGACCTCAGGTGATCCACCCACCTTGGCCTCCCAGAGTACATCTATCTTTTTTATTATGGCCACTCTATTGGGTAGGAAGTGGTATCTCATTGTGGTTTATTTGCATTTCCCTAATGCTAATTAATATTGACTATCTTTTCATGTGCCTTTGACCATTTGCATATATCTCCTTTGGATAAATGTGTTTTCAAATCTTTGGCCTAGTTTTCATTTGGGCTTTTATTATTATTATTATTATTATTATTATTATTATTATCATTATTATTATTATTATTGTCAGGTTGTAAGAGTTCTTTATATAGTCTAGGTACAAACCTCATGTCAGATATAAAACCTATAATATTTTCTCCTATCCCATGAGTTGTTCTTTTACTTTACTGGTGGTGTCCTTGAACCACAGAAGTTTTTAATTTTGATAAAATCCAATTTATCTCTTTTGTCTTTGATCACCTTCTGTCATGTCTAAGCAGGCTTTGCCTAAATCAAGATCATGAAAGTTTATCCCCATATTTTCTTTTAAGAGTTTTATAATTTAGCTCTTACATTTATGTCTATTATTCACCTTGAGTTAATTTTTTGTGTATGGTATAAGAAAGGAATCTAACTTCATTTTTTGCATGTGGATTGTCTAGTTTTTCCAGCACCACGTGTTGAACACAGTATTTTTGTTCTCATTGGATTGTCTTGGTATCATTTTCATTTTTTAAAGGATGAGTTTTTCTCCCTCTGGTTGAGTCAGCTGCAGATGGCATAAGACCAGGCATGTTTCTTAAAAAGTCTCATTCTTTAATTTTCAATAATTCTCTTGTCTGCCGCCTGCTGTCTATTTTAGCTGGAGGGAGGATCCCCAAGTTCTAGCCTGAGAACACCATGGATTGCCTTTTGATGTTATTAAAGCCTTGAAAATAAAAGAAGCATTTAGAGACCATGCCACACCTGACTCCTCTGTTGACTGATTTTCTTGCCATGGCCTTGCCCCTTTCCTAGCTTCAGGCCAGGAGGACTGCTTGGGCTCCCTCACCTAGCTCTCTTCTTGCTTGCCTCCCTCTCCCCTGCCTCCCTGGTGCAGTAGGCTTTGTAATTTGAGTCTACCCAGAACCCTTCTATGCATTTCCATCTTCAGGTGGTCAATATGCATTTAACTGAACGAAAAGCTTAGGACTTGCCATAAGTCAGGGCATTATCCTTGCATCCTCTCTGTTTCTCACACTTGACATCCAATCATCAACCAGTGGTGCTGATTCTGCTTCCAAAATATATCTCTGCTCGGTTTTCTTCTCTCTGTCTCCTGTTTCTTCTCATGTATACCAAATCATCTTTCTGTTAGATTTCTGCACTTAATCCTTCTAGAATCCATTTTCTTCCAAATTCCAGAAAGATCATTTTAAATTGTGCTAACTGGCTGTGTAAAGCC